>NC_000004.12:88315320-88466835 GCF_000001405.40 Homo sapiens
CAATCTGGGCATTGAGCTCTTTTTTATCTGAGCAAAGAACTAGTTTGATGAGATCCTGAACAGTCAACAAACTGGTGACTCTGGCTCAGGAGAAGACATGCATTTCATATTAAAGGTCAAACACCCACAGCCCAATCACTTTTTGATAAGTAATATCCAGCAAATGACACCAATTTTAGCTACCTAATAAGATGAATCTTAAGTGAACTCTAAAGAAAGATACGGTGTTCAGAGTTACATACAGTGAAATTATAAAACTAAGTATAGCAGGTCCTTGAATAACATTTTTTTTCAATGTCATTGTGTTATGACATTGATAAGGAAAAAAAAAATCAATTCCCAGCTGGGCCACTGTTTGTGTGAAGTTTACACATTCTCCCCACGTCTGTGTGGGTTTCCTCTGGCTACTCAGTTCCTTTCCACACCCCAAAGATGTGCACATTAGGTGAGTGGATGTGTCTAAATGTCCTAATCTGAGTGTGGGTGTGTGTGTGAGTGTGCCCCGTGATGGAATGGTGTCCTGCCTGTCCAGCGTTGATTTCCACTTCTCGCCCTGAGCTGCTGAGATAGGTTCCAGCTACCCAAGACCCTGAACTGGAATAAGCAGGTTGGAAGATAAGTGAAAACAAGTTATTATAAAATAAATATTCATAAAGTATATGGTAATCATACAAACACACAACAATAAATGATGTGGTATGAAAGTGCTCAGTGAGCCTGCTATATTCGTTATTGTTTGTTTTTTAACTGTGTAGTGGTAGGAGGAGCCTCTTACTAATTTTGCTTTGCAAATACTTTTGATTTAACCACCACCACTACTATTGCTGTCACTCACTGACTGACCAAAAATCAGGTAAATAAATAAATATCTTACTTGTTTTTATTTACCTGTCTTATCTTTAAACATTTATTTATTTTAATGTTTAATATTAGAAGTGTTTTAGGTCTTTATTTAGAAGTTTGGTAATGTTTCTATGACCAGAAATATGCCATAGAAACATAACTCTTGTTTGTATCAATTAGCCTATGGTAAAATTGGTTTCATTATACATTATTTTGCTTAAAGTTGAAGTTCCCAATAACATATTGGTGACATTAAGTGAGGACTTACTGTACAGAAAATTTGCTCAGTTTTACGTGGGAGTATTCTTTTTTTTTTTTTTTTTTGAGACAGGATCTCACTGTATCACCTGGGCTGGAGTGCAGGGGTGAGATCATAGCTCACTTCAGTCTTGAACTTCTGGGTTCAAGCAATCCTCCTGCACTGGCTATCCAAGTAGCTAGAACTATAGGTGTACACCACCACATTTGGCTGACTTTTCTTATTTTTTTATTTATTCATTTATTTGTTTATTTATTTTTTAGAGCTAAGGTCTTGCTATGTTGCCTAGACTGGTTTTGAACTCCTGGGCTGAAGCAATCCTCCCACTTCGGCCTCTCAAAGTGCTGGGATATCAGACATGAGCCACCTGCCATGCTTGGCCTATGTGAGTATTCTTAGTTGTCATTATTTACATTGTACTATAGACTAAATGTTTGTGTCCCCTCTAAATTCGTATGTTGAAATCCTAACCCCCAATGTGATGGTATTAGCAGGTGGGGGCCTTTTGTAGCTGATTAGTTCGTGAGGGTGGAGCGCCCATGAATAGGATTAGTGCCCTGATGAAAGAGACCCCAAGGAGCTTTCTCATCAACTTTCTGCCATGAGAGAAAACTGGGAACTAGGAAGCAGGTTCTCACTAGACATCAAATCTGCCAGTACCTTGATCTTGGACTTCCCAGCCTCCAGAACTGTCCCCCTTAGTCATCCCACAGTGGTGAGCACCTAAGGTGACTTAACAACAGTTTTGTACTTTGTATCAGATGCACAAATGCATTCTCACTTGCCCTTTGTGTGTGTGAGTGCATTTCTATCTTCTTTTATGTTCTCTTTTTATTATACTTATGTTCATTTCACAATTCTTTTTTTTGTTTTTAAGAGAGTTGGGGGCCAGGCACGGTGGCTCACACCTGTAATCCCAGCACTTTGGGAAGCCAAGGCAGGTGGATTACCTGAGGTCAGGAGTTCAAGACCAGCCTGGCCAAGATGGCAAAACCCCATGTCTCTACTAAAAAAAAAAAATACAAAAATTAGCTGGGCCTGGTGGCAGTTGCCTGTAATCCCAGCTACTCCAGATAAGTCACAAACTCTGAAAAGTCAACAAACTGGTAACTCTGGCTCAGAAGAAGGCATGCATTTCATACTTAAGGGTCAAATACCCACAGCCCAATCACTTTTTGATAAATGACATATCCAGCAAATGTTACCAATTTTAGCTACCTAATAAGATGAATCCTCAAGAGGCGGAGGCAGGAGAATCACTTGAACCTGGGAGGCAGAGGTTGCAGTGAGCCAAGACTATGCCACTGCACTCCAGCCTGGGCAACAAAGTGAGACTCTATCTCCAAAAAAAAAAAAAAAAAAAGAGAGAGCGAGAGATGGGGGTCTCACTCACTCTGTCACTCAGGCTGGAGTGCTGTGATGCAATCATAGCTCACTGCAACTTCAAACTTCTAAACTCAAGCAATCCTCCCAATTCAGCCTACTGAGTACCTGGAACACAAGGCACACTCTACCACCTCTGGCCAATTTTTGAATTTTTTGTAGAGACACCATCTAGCTATGATTCCCAGTCTGGTCTCAAACTCCTGGCCTCAAGCAATCCTCCTGCCTCAGCCTCTTGAGTAGCTGGGATTACAGTCATGAGCCACTGTGCCCACTTGAATCTTTATTGAGTGCTTATTCCTCAAGAAATGCTATAACAAATGTTAGAAATTAAATGGTGAGTCAAAACAAAGTCCCTGTCTTTCCTGGGGTTTACAGTAATACTCTCTCCATGAACATCAACAACAACAGTAACTAATACACATAATTACATTTATTGATTAATTGAATGCTCACATACACATAAAGATATCATTGTCATTATTTTGTCAAGGGGGAAAGGGAGGCACAGAGAGCATAAGGAATTTGCCCAGAGTCATATGCTCTAGTGGTGGAGCCTGTATACTGTTTGTCTCTCCTTTACTATATTTACTCTCCCATGAATTGTAAACCAAAAATAAAATTCTAAGGCACCACAACCATCTGAATGGGCCCCTCCTCTCAGCCAGGGGCATTCCAAAGCTAACCTGAAAAAAATGAGTTCAGGCCATGATGAGAAAAGGGAGCCAAAATGCCTCATTATACCCTCCTCCCTTTTGGAATTACTGATATAAGAGGCTCTTTAAGTCTGATAAGAAATATTTACAATCTATTCTCTCTCAAATCTGCTACCTGGAGGCTTTATCTGCATGATAAAACCTTGGTCTCCACAACCCTTATCATAATCCAGACATTCCTTTCTATTGATAATAACACTTTCAACCAATTGCCAATCAGAAAATCTTTGAACCTGCCTGTGACGTGGAAGCCCCCAATTCCAGTTGTTCCACCTTTCTGAACTGAACCATTGTACATCTTACATGTATTAATTGATGTCTCATGTCTCCCTAAAATGTATAAAACAAAGCTGTGGCCCAACCACCTTGAGCTTATGTTTTCAGGATCTTTTGAGGCTGTGTCATGGGCCATTAGTCACTCATAACTGGCTCAGAATAAATCTCTTCAAATATTTTACAGAGTTTGACTGTTTTCATCGACACAATGTAAATATCATCTGAGATGTTATACTAACCCATTTATTTATTATTCACTCACTACATCGTTATTAAACATCTTTGATGTGCCAGGCATGTGGGGGTGGCTCTGGGCAAACAAAGAAATATGCTCAGTCCCTGTCATTGAGTGAGGCCCATAAACACATAATTCCAGCACAACCTGTTATGTGAAAAGACAAGGTATATATCAAGTGAAATGTAAACAAAGGAGGAAATGACTAACTTTGCTTGGGATTGCTGAGAAAGACTTTGTAGAAGAGAAGATTTTTTATCAGTGTCATGAAGGCTTAATAGCAACTGATTTGTTAAAGAATCATGAAAAGATCAACCCCAAGAAAGAAAAGGAAACATGGAAGGACCTGGACTGGAGTCACGCCAGTACAAGGAGGATACTGGCAAAGATGAGGTAGGTGGATGGGAAATAGCAGGACTTGAGGGTAAGACATTGAGTTGAAAACAAAATAATGGTTATTGATCAAACGCAGTGGGGCTTAGGCTGGGGAGTAATGCATATGGATCTGGTGCCATTTTGAAGGACATTGTTGAAGGCAAGGGAAAGCGTCCCCTTCACTCTCTGAAGGTTTGCTGAAAATATTTAACAAGAAGACGATTAATAGGAGAAAAGGCATACAAATTTATTTGATCATAGTTTTTCATGACACAGGGGCCTTCAAAATGAAAGCCCTCCACCTCGAGGTTACAGAAAGAATATGGATTCAGAGCACAGCCAAAAACAGGCTATGGTGGTAAACTAGGCTTTAGTGGCAAAACAGGTTATGAGAGAGACAGAACAGGAGGCCTGCCTAGCAAAGTTGGCCTTATTATATAGATGAAACCTCATGGGTAGCAGACAGAATAGATGACAAATTCTTCTTACCTTTACCAAATTCTCTCACCTCTAAAGGTGTCAGACTCTTAATCTTTCCTAGATCTGACAAGGGAATCCTGGCTGCATGAATATAGATTCTCTACAGATGTAAATTTCCCCCAGGAAAGACAGCTTTGTAGGGCCAATTCCGTTTGCTGGCCCTCTGGCAGTCATCTCAAAGTATATCAAAGAAATATATTTTGGGGTAAAATATCTTGATTTCCTTCCACATCGAGGATGAAAGTTGCTGAAGAAAGGAAAAAAATGTTGGTAGCTCTTGCAGTGATCTAAGCAAAAATTGAGGCACTGGAGAGGAGACTTATTGAGGGGTATGAATCAACAGAGCTTGATTAAGTCTAGGGGTTAAAGGAGTGATTGGGTGACTGAGTGGATAATGGTAACAATCAAAATAGTATCTCAAATTCTACAAGATTCCTTTTGAGCTAGAGTTTGCTCAAAGTACATTCAAAGCAGCACCTGTTGAACTCTGACAGCCCAGAAAAACAATAGCTAACTCACGCATGGCTAAATAGCTCTTAGAATCATAGTGAGTCATTGTTTTGGTTATATTAATGGATTAATTCAGTTAATCCTCACAAAAACCTCATAAAGTAGGCAGGACCATATTCCATTTTACAAATGAGGAGATCAGTTCAGGAAATTAGAACAGAGAGGTGAACTAACTTAACCAAGGTGATATAGCCACTAAGTGTTGGAGTCTGACTTCAAACACAGTCAGTTTTTATACTGCCTTGTTTGAAGCCTGGGGTGAAGATGGAGGTGGAGTGCTGTCCTGGGAGTGGGGCTGAGGGATGCAGCACTTTACAAGGGCAAAGTTTCCTACAAATCACCTTTAAACATCTTTCTTCCTTCTCAAAGTTCACACTCACCCTGGCTGCCAAGTGCTCCCTGCTCCTCGGGGCTATTGCTGTGCTGTTCTTGAGAGCTTCCTCCTTCCACCAGACAGTTTCTGTTCCCCTTAGTTCTGAGAAATGTGGCCGTCCTGGCCTAGCACCCTCCTAGGAGAAGTGAAGTCCCCTGCAGATCTTTCTGTTTGTTTGTTTTTCTGGAGCAAACAAGCCCTGCTTTCAATTCAGGGAAAGGTGGAAGGAGAACAGAGGTCTGGGAATGTGAAGAAGCTAAGACAGTGGATTTGATTGGGCACTTGTTTTGTTTGTGGTGTCTCAGGGATATTCAACTGAAAAGAGAAACCACAGAGATAGGAAGCCAGAAGAGGTTTGAAATTCTTTTGAAATACTTACTAAATATTTGCTTTCAGACACTTTGCAGGAGTATTCAAACAGCATCTCCCTGTATGTTGGAAAGCAGCCCGTGTACACAGCTAAATATTTTTTCTAAATAATCTTGAAAAGGAAACTAAACCAATCATGCATCACTGACAAAGATTTTGTCTTTTTTTTTTTTGAGACAGAGTCTCGCTGTGTCACCCAGGCTGGAGTGCGGTGGCATGATTTCAGCTCACTGCAACCTCCACCTCCCGGGTTCAGGCGATTCTCCTGCCTCAGCCTCCTGAGTAGCTGAGATTACAGGTGCATGCCACCACACCCGTCTAATTTTTGTATTTTTAGTAAAGATGGGGTTTTACCATGTTGGTCAGGCTGGTCTTGAACTCCTGACCTCGTGATCTGCCTGCCTCGGCTTCCCAAAGTACTGGGATTACAGGCGTGAGCCACTGCGCTTGGCCTGTCTTTTTTTTTTTTTTTAATAGGATCTGTTCTAAAAGTAATTTATGATTTGCATTCTGAAACTTGCCATCTAGTCAAGTTTAAAGACCCATGTAGGAACAAATATCATAAAAGTACAAAAAATTGATCATCATATGTATGTAAATGTTGTAATTTTTAAAAAGTCTTCGTGATAATGAAAAGAATCCATGTTGACTATAGCAAACATAAAATACAGAATTTAAAAAATTCCTCTTACTGTCACATATAAGCACCATTAACATTTTGGATGTATTCTCTTCCAGACTTCCTGCAATCTCTTTCTTTCTTTTTGATTACTATATTTCTTTATATTTTATTACTACGGTTGTTGCTAGTTTTCCATTTCAAACATAGCTATTTTCTCTACATAATGCATAACCTGCTATTTAAAAAAAAAACAAACTTTGTTTAAAAATGTACAAAATTAACACATTCTCATCCAAAAAAGAGGTCTTGCAGTGAAAAAGCATATAGGGTCAAAATGATATGTTTCCCTGGTCCCATTCCCCAAGGTAGCCTCAAGCAACAGTTTGATGAAGTTCACAAGTTTTTCCAAAAGCAAAGCCATTCTTGAGGTAAATTTTTCCTCCTCATGTCTATAATCTACATTAATATAAACATATTTTCTCTAGTGTTGTGATCTAGTGTTTTTTTTCCTAACGGTGTTTCAGACAGCTTTTTCACGTCGACCTAAAAGGAAGAGGCCTAACACCAAATACGATTTTAAAAGTTTACTTGAGCCAAAGTGGGAAGAGCTGCCTGGAAGACTCAGACCCAGGTAGCCTTGGTTATGAGCACCATTTGGCCTGTATTATAAGCAGATTTTTTAAAGGCAAAAAAAGGAGACTAGAGATTGCTAGTACAAAGTTGTTTGTCAAGAATTATTATTGGTTTATAGATATAACATTGATCAGTGATTGGCTGTACATCGTTAAGCCATAGGGTGTGGATATAGTGTCAGGTTAAGCATTATTAGGTTAAGTTATAGCTATCTGTGGCAATAGCAAGCAGTTTCAAGGGATGAATCCATAGCTCAAAGCGGGGAATAGGACGTATAGCTCTCTCATTTTAATGTCTCTCTGGGCCTGATGATTTAAAAGACTCACACTCCTAAGATGAAAGTTATTTTCTCATCTATGTAATGTGTTAATAATTATGTCTGGTGAAATGTTGCTAAAACACTGCAACGTGGTTGGCCTTGCTTTGAATGAGCTGGAAGAAGATTTTATATCAGTGTCATCGGAATGCACTGATTCCTTGAATAGTCAGAGACTAATTTTGGTCTAAATTATGTTCTTTCTTTACCTTTTTAAAAAATCAATACGCTTTTCATTTTGAAATTTTTTTTTTTTTTTTGAGACAGAGTCTCGCTTTGACGCCAGGCTGGAGTGCAATGGCATGATCTCAGCTCACTGCAACCTCCACTTCCCAGGTTCAAGCAATTCTCCTGCCTCAGCCTCCTAAGTAGCTGGGATTACAGGGGTGCGCCACCATGCCCAGCTAATTTTTGTATTTTTAGTAGAGACGAGGTTTCACCATGTTGGCCAGGATGGTCTCAATCTTGACCTTGTGATCTGCCCGCCTCAGCCTCCCGAAGTGCCAGGATTACAGGCATGAGCCACCGTGCTCAGCCTGAAATAATTTTTAAAAGTTGCAAAGATAGTACATAGAGTTCCTATATACACTTCACCCAGCTCCCTCTAATGTTAATCTCTTATGTCATCATGGTACATTTGTCAAAGCTAAGAAATTGACATTGGCACAATACAGTTAACTGTAGACTTTATTTGGATTTCACCAGTTTTTCCACTAATATTCTTCTATTCCAGAATCCATTCAGGATACCTATTATTTTAGTTACTTTATCTTTTAAGTTACATTGTTTCATTGCCTCTCTATGAAGGATTGTGGGAAGGGGAAGGGGTTAGAGAGAAAATACATACTGATGCATTTGAGATTAAAGGAAATCAAAATACTTTATCTCAAAATACATATTTCCTGGACATAGTTCACGATGGCTATTTAGAAGGGCTGGATGGCTGGGTGTGGTGGCTCATGCCTACAACCCCAGCACTTTGGGAGGCCAAAGTGGGTGGATCGCTTGAGTCCAGGAGTTCGAGACCAGCCTGGGCAACATGGCGAAACCCTACAAAAAATAGAAAAATTAGCCGGGCATGGTGGCGCGCGCCTGTAGTTCCCAGTACTCAAAGGGCTGAGGCAGGAGGATCACTTGAGCCTTGTGGGATTGTGTGTGTGGAAGTTGCAGTGAGCCAAGATTGGGCCACTGCACTCCAGCCTGGGTGACAAAGGAAGACCCTGTCTCAAAAATAAAATAAAATAGAAGGGCTGGAAATGGAAGAATAGCTGAAAAGCTGTCTTTTGTAGGAGGAAATTTGCATCTGCAGAGAAACAGCTGCATTGGTGCAGCCAAGCTTTCTCTGAAGCCATCTCGCATCTGATCTAGGAAGGATTAACTGAGAGTCTGATATTTTAAAGGTCTAAAAGAAATGTTACCATCTATTTTCTCTGATGGCTACTATCTGTGAAGTTTCATCTACAAGGCCACTTTTGCTAGCCACCCATAACCTGTCTTGCCACTATGACCTGATTTAACTACCACCTTAACGTGTTTTTGGTCGTGCTCTGAGCTCCCAGGCTTTGTGTAACTTCAAGATAGTATATAAGCTTCTGCATCCCCATTGGAGGGCTGGAGTAATCAATCTGTGATTTTTTTTCCCCCATGCATGCCAATACATTTGTATATACCTTTTCTCTTACTAATCTTCCTTTCATCAGTTGATTTTTCAGTGAAACTTCAGAGGGTAAAAGGGAAGTTTTCCCTTGGTCTCTACAAGATCATGTTAGCAACATGAGGTTGCAATCATTAGAGTCCTGGGATTCCTGCTAAATGTTATTTTACGTAGTCATCCTGCCTCCTTCAGGCAAAGGTATTTGAGGAGTGGCTATACCAAATGTTAGGCAGGCGGATCCTCTGAGGTCAGGAGTTTGAAACCAGCCTGGCCAACATGGTGAAACCCCGTCTCTACTGAAAGAATACAAAAATTAACCAGGTGTGGTGGCACGTGCCTGTAGTCCCAGCTACTTGGGAGGCTGAGGCGGGAGAATCGCTCGAACCTCGGAGGCGGAGGTTGCAGTGAGCCGAGATCTCGCCACTGCATTCCAGCCTGGGTAACAAGAGTGAAACTCTGTCTCAAAAATAAAAAAAAAAAAGAAAAGAAAAAGAAATTCTCATGGCATGATTCGAGAGATGAGTGATGTCAGACCTGAGGGCCAAATTGTAGACAACTGCTCCTTAAGAGTAAGGACTATCTCTTGCTTATCTTTGCATCTTCTGTAGCACCTAGTGTTTAGGACTCTATAAAATTGAGCCACCCAGATGACTGTATTCCAAAAACATGAGTATGTTTTCTCTCAATCTCTGTGTATGGGATAACTGTTTTGTTTTGTTTTATTTGTTTGTTTCAGGCCCAATGTTTATTCCTACTTCTACTAAAAGTACTTTATTTTTCTTATTTTCCTGGGGGAACTATTCCCTCCCAGTATTCTACTACGTAGTTCAGATGGAGTTAAATCTACTCACTGGCTCCATAAGTAAGAGTGTTATCTAGGCCAGCCTTAGAGGAGTAACAAATTCTCCTGGCCACAATAATTGGTTCAGAGGTGTTTCCACAAACCAAGCTAAGACAGAGTGGTCAATCCTGGCACTAGGATAAACTTCTGTTGGTAAGGTATGGTAGCACATGCCTGCAATCCCAGTGCTTTGGGAGGCTGAGGCAGGAGGGTTGCTTGAGGCCAGGAGTTCAAAAACAGCCTGGACCACACAGCAAGACACCGTCTTTAAACACACACACACACACACACACACACACACCCTCCTTCTGTTGGACTTGCTGCACTAGAATCATAAGCTTGAAGTCACCACGTAGCTGCCTGGGAATGGAACTGCCACAGAAGAAAGACAGCCTAGGAATGGGTGAGAAAGACAACGTCTTGTTAACATCATTTGAGTGCCTGAATCAAACCTTTCCCAAAGCTCACTCCTTGAACTTTCAGGTATTGAGCCAATCAATCTTTTTCTAAATTTAAACTAATTTGAGTTGGCTTTCTCTCACTTACAACAGGAGTCCTGACATATATCTTTAATGTCACCCTCTACCACTTGATATTGTGAGTGAACAACTTTGGATCTTGGGCTTTCCTTAGCTCTCTATGCCCAATGCTAAATGTGATTTCACAATTATGGTTCAGGCCTGTTCAGACTTCTCTATGTGAGAGAGCTTGTGCATGGGTATGATTTAAATCTCTCTGTGTCAGAATAGCCTTGTACAGTTCTGTGCGTGAAATGTTTGCTCAGCTAGTCTAGATGAGGATATTCTAGATGTCATCCTTCCAAGGAGACTTCCCTGACTCCCACACTTTCATATATGTCAGATGAAAAGGATCTCTTATAGTTTCCTATGCTTACCCTTATTCTAACCGTCTTTACTCTATATTATACAGTTGGCTCTTGAACAATATGGGTTTGAACTGCATGGGTCCAATTATACATGGATTTTCTTCTCCTTCTGCCACCCTAGAGACAACAAGACCAACTTCTCCTCTTTCTCTTCCTCCTTAGCCTACTCAATGTGAAGACGTTGAGTATAAAGACTTTATGGTGATCCATTTCCAGTTAATGAATAGTAAATATATTTTTTCTTCCTTATGATTTTCATAAGAACATTTTGTTTTCTCTGGCTTATTT
This sequence comes from Homo sapiens, assembly GCF_000001405.40. NCBI lineage: Eukaryota > Metazoa > Chordata > Mammalia > Primates > Hominidae > Homo > Homo sapiens. The sequence goes on from NC_000004.12 coordinate 88,326,380, forward strand.
TATATTGTGAAAATATACTATATAATACATATAAAAAATTCATGTTAATTAACTTATGTTATCAGTAAGGTTTCTAGTCAACAGTAGGCTATTAGTTAAGTTTTGGGTAAATAAAAGTTATATTCAGATTTTTGAGTGTGTGGGGTCAGCATCCCTAGCCCCCACATTATTCAGGGGTCAACTATAATTGTTTCTTACCTGCTGTCCCAAGTGAAGCTCCTCTTGTCTTTTCCTAAAAATAATCTCTGACACCCAGCCTAGTGATTTACAGAATGGATACATGATATACAATTATCAAATAAATGAATGGATGAATAATAAATGATAATAATAATTACACAAATTAGGGAAAACTCTTCTCTTTTTCCATACCTTCTCTGCAAAGGCTACAGAAAATCAGTAACTGCATTCAAGAATTCTACTCATTGATCTTTTTTTTCTTCTTTTTCTCTTATCCCAAGCCCTAATCTTGCAAAATAATTAAACTGCAATGCAGTCTTCACGTATCTACTCACTGATCTTGAAGCCTTATTTTCCATTCTGTGAGCCACACTTAGATATTGATAAACTAAAGTATTCAAAAGCTGGCAACCAGGTGTGAAGTGTTGAAAACATGATAAATGAAGAATAATTGAAGGAGCTAGAAAGTTGAGCTTGGCAAAGGAAGATCCAGGGTAGAGAATATCATTGTTTTCAAAATTTGAAGTGGATAGGAACCAGGGCAAAAACCAAGCCAATAATTTCAGACTGGAGTTCTGTCAGTAGAGAACTCTTAACAGTTAAGATCATCAAAGGTAAAATGAGCTGCTGCAGAACTCCCTGAGCTTCCCACTCTCAGAGGTGCTCCCGGAGGGGTAGAACCCATAGACCATTTGATGGAAAATCTGTATAACAGATTTTTAGATGGTGAGAGTCAGGAATTCAAATTTCTGGCACTTACAAAGATATTCTTCTACTTTAAGAACATTAGGCGGCCGGGCGCGGTGGCTCACGCCTGTAATCCCAGCACTTTGGGAGGCCGAGGCGGGTGGATCATGAGGTCAAGAGATCGAGACCATCCTGGCTAACAAGGTGAAACCCCGTCTCTACTAAAAATACAAAAAATTAGCCGGGCGCGGTGGCGGGAGCCTGTAGTCCCAGCTACTCGGGAGGCTGAGGCAGGAGAATGGCGTGAACCCGGGAAGCGGAGCTTGCAGTGAGCCGAGATTGCGCCACTGCAGTCCGCAGTCCGGCCTGGGCGACAGAGCGAGACTCCGTCTCAAAAAAAAAAAAAAAAAAAAAAAAAAAAAAGAACATTAGGCATTTAGGATCTTTTCAAGCACTGGAAGAATCATAGAATCTTTTAATTTTTAAAAAATTTATCTGAACCTCTGATCCTTGTTTAATGAGGCAGTTGGCAGATGAAGAGTTCCACCCTTGCTCCAGTGCTATGCTGATGAACAAGGCCACTGTGTAGCCAAAAGGTGTGGCTCTGCATTTGGTTAACAGGGCTCAGAAGTATGGGATTGCCCAATGTATGTCCTGCATTCTGCTTAAATTAGCCTTAGGGCTTTATCAGTGTAACCTTTCCTTAATTATGTGTGTATGTTTGTGTGTGTATGCGAGTTTGTGTAATTTTTGCTTATTGTCCTTGGGTGGAAACTGATTAATTAATCATGTAGGCCTTTAGATGAGAACCAAAGACTGTGTTTGGAAAAAAATGGTCTAAGGACTACCTGCATCAACATTTCTTAGAAGCTTCTAATAATGCATATTCCTGGGTCTCACCCAGACTTACTAAATCAGATTCCCTGGGGGTTGAGCCCAGATATCTACTTCTTAACAAGAAACCCAGGTACTAATCACGAGCTTCAACATTGGAGGGTCCTAACTGTAGAAGGTAGCAGGATGGTAATGAGAGGAACTCCCCTCCCCTGAACACAAACATTATATTTTTGGGCAGAGCTGCAGACTGTTCTCAGATGTAAAAAGGCGGACTGATCCATTAGGAATTGGTTCCACTGGATTTTTTTTCACAGTGTTTTTTTCTGGGCTCTCACTGTGTTAACAACAATCCACACAGAAGACTTCTGTGACCAAATGAGTGTGAGTTTTTTCCCACACACCAGGCAAGCAAGCAATTCTGCCGGGGACAGCGGCTGAGTGTCCTCCAATCCAATTCTGACACTATCTACCTGAAGATGCCATCAGACCCCACAGGTTGAGGGCTCGGTCCCACAAGACCCCCCCCCCCCCCCAGCCCATACACACACCAGTTGCAAGTTCAGGCCTCGGGAACTTCTGACCAACTGGCTTCCAGTTGCCATTCCCATGACCCCCTCTTTGGGCTCAATTAATTTGCCAGAGCTGCTCACAGAACTCCGAGAAACACGTTTCCCAGTTTATTATGAAGGATATAGATGAAGAGAAGAGATGCATAGGGTACAGGATGCAGAAAGGAGTGCAAAGTTTCCATGCCTTCTCTGAGAGCAACATCCTCCAGGAACCTCCACGTGTCCAGCTATCTGGAAGCTCTCTGAATCCTGTACTCTTGGGCCTTTGATGGAGATTTCATTAGATAGGCATGATTGACAACCATGTAGAAATGTGATTAGACAAAAAAAGTATGATCTAATACCAACAGACTGAACGGGGGAACCCAGCAAGGCCTGTCTGCTCACATTTCTCTTGGCCTCTCTGTGCAACATTCCTTCCTCCAGGGTAGGGGGCAGAGCCCCTTCTGAAATAAGTTATGACCTATAATCAGACAAGGTGGGTCAGAAAATTTCTTTATGGCCAGCTCCAAGACAAAAAAAGAGAAGATTCCTGCCTTGGAGAGAAAAAGGAGCAGGTGAAAGGAGGGCAGGAAAATGTCAGAGAGATTCTGTTTTCTGAGGCCTGATTCTGAGGTTTAAAGTGCCCCAACATTATAACAAGAGCCATAGGAGTTATGAGCCAGGAACCATGAACAAAAACCTATGTATGTGTGTGTGTATATATATATATATGTGTGTGTGTGTGTGTGTGTGTGTGTGTGTGTGTGTGTTTTACTATGTATATACCCAGACAACCTTCATCCACATAAAGGTATGAAAAATTATCAGTCTTCCATAAGGTACAATCTTTATCGCATTTAAAAATAATATATTTAGGCTGAGTGCAGTGGCTCACGCCTATAGTCCCAGCACTTTAGGAGGCCAAGGTGGGAAGATCACTTGAGCCCAGGTGTTCGAAAGCAGCCTGGGAAACACGGTGAGATTCCATCTCTACAAAAAAAAAAAAAAAAAAATTAGGCAAGCATGGTGGCATATGCCTGTGGTCCCAGCTACTTGGGAGCCTGAGGCAGGAGGATCAGTTGAGCCCAGGAGGTCAAGGCTACAGTAAGCCACTATAGAGTTCATGCCACTGCATGCTAGCCTGGGTGACAGAGCAAGACCCTATCTCAAAATAATAACAATAATATATTTAGGCTGGGTTCAGTGGCTTATGCTTGTAATACCAGCATTTTGGGAGGCCAAGGTGGGAGGATCTCTTGAATCCAGGAGTTCAAAACCAGCCTGGGTAACATACTGAGACCCTGTCTCTATATGTAAATAAATAAATAAATAAATAAATAAATAAAATAAAAATAGTATATTTAAATAATGAAAATAAATAAAACATATTTAAGTATCTAACATGTTAAAATATTTAAATAAAATGTGACCTTACATTATTAAAAATTTGAAAAATTAAGAGAGGAAATAATCTTCTGTTTTTTCACCACCTTAATAAACTATTTTAATTTCTAGTAACTTCATTCTTTTCTTCATTTTTTTTAAGGCTAGTCAAGTGGAGCAGTGGGAGTGAAGATGGAATAAAGAAATCCATAACTGGTTGTGATTAAGTAGTTGTAAACACCAACTGCACTCAGACCAACCCATATATATATTTTTAATTGTAAGCATAGTATATATAAAACTTCAATTCCTGCTTTTTTTTACCTAACATTATATCATATGCATTTTCCATACTGTTTCACAATTCCTTGTATTCGTAATTGTTTAATCCTGCAAAATAATGCTTCGAATGAACATATGATCATTTCCTTAAGTATTCCCCTACTATTAGAAGTGAAGTTTCTTCCAGCATTTTTCTCTTTGCTGTGATGAATATTTTTAAGTATAGAGATTTTTCAGTTTGGTTATGAGTTTTTGAAAATCTACTTTACCAAAAACAAAGAAAACCCATGTCTTTCTTTAGTACCTTTGCCAAGATATTACTTTTACTTGACATTCAACAAGTATAGGATGAAAGTACACAAGTCTGCAAGGGACCTTGGAAGTAACTTGTTTCTGTCTAATTTCTATAAAATTTCCAGGAGATAGTCATACAGCTTTAATTTGATCGCATCCACTAGTTTTGGCATTGGTATTGCCATATTGATTATGGACACATAAAACTGTAACTCCTGGAGCCAACCTCTCAGGCTTTCCTACATGAAACCAATGCCACCATCCCACCCGCACTCTAGCACCTTCTATCCACTGATTTTAGTCATTGACTTGCTCTCTTCCTCTTTCTGTTTGTTGTCTTCCAGTTTGTCTCTTTCATTCCTCCCCTCCCTTCTCTATCCTGCTCTCTGACCCAAGAGGCTGACCTGTATGAACCACATCAGTGATTGGCTGGTGGGGCCCCCCAGCAAAGAGGATGGAGTGAAGTGAGGGTATTTACTTGCTTAATTGCCTCCAGGCTGGGTCACTCACAGCTGGCCATGTCCTTCCATCAAAGATCAGAGCTCTCCTCAAGGTAGCCCTCTCCACAAACTTTCTTGAGTTTCTCTTTCTGGGTTTTGTTAACCATTTTCTCAACTTGTCCCTTCATGCCTAGAGGTAATAGCAGGTGGGGAATGCTGTGCTATTCCATTTGGTTTTCCTGCACCCTTCCCATGTTTGTATGTAGTCCCTTTCATCAAAGTACTGGGACTGTCCTAATTCGAATGTGCCATCTTTTTTGTTTCCTGCTAAGAACTGTTCAACTCACTCTGGATACACTCAATAAATATAACTCAGACTGTCACAATATTGAAGTTGTCACTATGTGCTTTGTTGATATCACTGGTCCAGAAAATAATGACATGGCTCACTCTGCTCACCTCTTTAGTTTCCATTTCAGCATTGCTCACTCCCTTCACAATTCCCCGTCAGAATGGGAAAAAACTTCACTAATAAACTTAGAGATAGAGAGTAGAGTTCATCCTCAATGGCTTATGGACCAAAAGAGGTTTTTTGTGTGTTCGTTTTTGTTTTTCTTTTTTTCTTTAAAGTTCAGATTTTTCTTTGTAAAAACTCTCGTGTTAGATAAGTGCCCATGCCAGAGCTATTTAAGTAATAGCATGAAAAGATGTTATAAAAACTAGATGTATATTTGTCCTTGGTAGTTGTCTTTCCTTGTTCAATGCCTAGCAGGCTATGATGAAATAACTCTGGTAATCATGACTTTAAAAACAATAAGGAGTCAACCTCTCTGAGTGCTCAAGTTATTCCGTGTCTATAAGACAACCTCCTTTAGAAACTGAAGTGTTTCTTCTAAGCGTTTGGGAGCACTGTCTGGAAGGTTATTTTCTGAGTGTGCTTAATCTAAGTTGTGTCGATGAAAAGAATCAAAGTCTGTAAAATATTTGAAGAGATTAATTCTGAGCCAAATATGAGTGACCATGACCTGTGACACAGCTCTCAGGAGGTCCTGAGAACACGTGCCCAAGGTGTCAGGGTGCAGCTTGGTTTTATACATTTTAGGGAGACATGAGACTTCAAATACATTTAGGATATACATTGGTCCAATCCAGAAAGGCAAGACAACTTGAAGGGGGGTGGGGGCCTTCCAGGTTATAGGTAGATTTAAAGTTTTTCTAATTGGCAATTGGGTGGAAGAGTTATCAATGGATAGAAATGTCTGCCTTGCGATAAGAAGTTATGAAGACCAAAGTTTTATCATGCAGATGAAGCTTCCAGGTAGAGAATAAATAGTCAATGTTTCTCTTCTTTTTTGTTCCCTTGATTCTACCCCCTCCCTCCAAACGTTTCTTTTCAGACTTAAGGTCTGTATTGATGTTAATACTGGAGAGGTGTAATGAGGCATGTCTGATCCCACTTCGCGTCATGGCCTGAACCAGTCTTTCAGGTTAAATTTTAAAGTTCCCTGGCTAAGGAGGAAGTCATACAGATGGTTGCGGGGGTTGGGGGGGGGTGGCTCAGAATTTTATTTTTGGTTTACATTTGTCATTTTACAGGAAGAATGTTTTTTGAGTAGAATTAAGAAGATGCTCACAAGATTAAGGCATAATAGAATTTCCCTCCTTCCTTCCTTCCCTCCCTCCCTCCTTTCTTTCTTTCTTTCTCTTTTTCTTTCCTTCCTTCCTTCCCTCCTTCCTTCCTTTCTTCCTTCCTTCCTTCCCTCCCTCCCTACCTCCTTCCTTTTCTTTCTTTCTTTCATTTCTTTCTTTCTTTTTTTCTTTCTTTCTTTCTTTCTTTCTTTCTTTCTTTCTTTCTTTCTTTCTTTCCTTCATTCCTTCCTTCTCTCTTTCTTTCTTTCTCTCTTTCTTTCTCAAGACAGGAGTGTGCCCTGTTGCCAAGGCTGGCCTGTGCTCAAGTGATCCACCTGCCTTGGCCTCCCAAACTGCTGGGATCACAGGTGTGAGCCACCATGCCCAGCCAGCATAATAGTACTTCGAAGATAACGATTTCCTTTTACAAGGAATCCTTCAAACTTGATGAAAAGAAAAAGATGGAGAGCTAAGCTATGAGGATGCAAAGGCATGAGAATAATACAATGGACTTTGGGGACTCGGAGGGAAAGGGTGGGAGGCGGGTGAGGGATAAAAGACTACACACTGGGTACAGTGTACACTGCTCAGGTGATGGGTGCACCAAAATCTCAGAAACCACCACTGAAGAACTTATCCATGTAATCAAACACAACCTGTTCCCCAAAAACCTGTAGAAAAAAAATTGTATACCATAAATATGTATAATTTTTGTCAATAAAAATTTTTTTAAAGTGAAAAAAAAGAAAAGAAAGAAGTGAAGGTGTCCCAAGGGTTAACTCAATCCATTATATTATTTTTATATTTATTTATTTATTTATTGAGACATAGTTTCACTCTTGTCACCCAGGCTGGAGTGCAATGGCACGATCTCAGCTCACTGCAACCCCACCTCCCAGGTTCAAGCCATTCTCCTTCCTCAGCCTTCTGAGTAGCTGGGATTATAGGCGTGTGCCACCATACCTGGCTAATTTTTGTATTTTTAGTAGAGATGGGATTTCACCATGTTGGCCAGGCTGGTCTTGAACTCCTGACCTCAGGCGATCTGCCCACTTTGGCCTCCCAAAGTGCTGGGATTACAAGCATGAGCCACCATGCCCAGTCTCAATCCATTATATTATTTTCTTCATGTTTCTTCTTGTGACTTCCACTTGGATTTTACAGAAGAGGGGGTGTGGATCAGTAAGACAGAAAAAAGAGGTGAAAGACTGAATCAAGGCCAAGGAAAGCTTGGGCTTCCTCCCAGATATTGGGCAATCTTCTCCTCACTCCTCACTTTCCTTAAGCAATCTCATCAGCTTCCCTGTCTCTAATTACTGCACTACTCATCATAGATGACTCCCCAGTTTAAATCTCTGGTACAGACCTATCTGAGCCCCAGCCCCACAAAGGCAATTGGTTTCTGACATCTCCAGTGGAGATGTCTCAAAATATCTCCAATTCATGATGTTCCTCCTTACACCTAGGTGTGCTCCTCTTCCTTCCTGTGTTCTCTGAATGAGAAAATGACACCACTTCACCACTGTTCACACAGTGACACCAGCAAGAAGCCCAGTGATCATCCTCAGGACCTCCTCCCTATCATGCCCTCATCCTCTCCCTCATGCCCTCATCCCTCCTCATCCACTTTATCTCAGACACAACCACTCTGCCCTTCTCCAAGGCCAACTCTTTTTTTTTTTTTTTGGAGATAGAGTCTTACTCTCTCACTCAGGCTGGAGTGTGCAGTGGCGTGATCTCAGCTCACTTCAACCTCCACTTTCCAGGTTCAAGCGATTCTCATGCCTCAGCCTCCCAAGTAGCTGGAACTACAGGTGTGTGCCACCATGCCCAGGTAATTTTTGTATTTTTAGTAGAGGTGGGGTTTTACTATATTGACCAGGCTGGTCTTGAACTCCTGACCTCAAGTGATCCGCCCGCCTAGGCCTCCCAAAGTGTTGGGATTACAGGTGTGAGCCACCATGTCCAGCCCAGGGCCAATTCTCTAGCCCTGCTTCTGTCAGCTCTTGCCCAGACAACAGCAGTCACCTGCATCCACTCTTCCCAACCTTTCAACTAGTTCTCCATGCTACAGCTGGAGTGACCTTTTTGAAATGTAAATGGAGTAACCGTTTTGAAATAAAATGCACACTTCAGTGACTTCTTATTTCTCTTATCATAAAAATCTTTTAACCTGGTCTGTGAACCACTGCACGTTTTGGTCCTTTCCTACTTCTTCCAACTAATCCTAATTTCAGTTCTACATCTTACTAACTGGATAACCTTGCCTAAGTTACTTAACTCCTCTATGCCTCAGTTTCTTCATCTGTAAAACAGGGGTAACAATAGTATTTCCAATTAGAATTGTCATGAGGATCAATGTAAAGTGCTTAGAATTAACTTAGTAGGTACAATAAATATTAGCTCAATAAATGTTTGCTCAATAAATATTAGCACTTATTAGGACATCTTAGCTGTCTTCGGTCACTGTGACATTTTCTCTCAAAAGTGTTGTCTTACTCTGTTTACATTGCTATAAATAAATGCCTGGGACTGGGTAATTTACAAGGCAAAGACGTTTATTTGGCTCACAGTTCTGCAGGCTGTGCAAGAAGCATGCTGCCAGCATCTGCTTCTGGTGAGGGCCGCAGCCTCCTTCCACTCATGGCGCAGGAGAAGGGGAGCCAGTGTAGAGATCACATGGGGAGAGAGAGTAGGGGAGGTGCCTGGCTCTTTTTAACAACCAGCTCTCTCAGAAACTCATAGAGTAAGAACTCACTCATTACTGTGAGGACAGCACTAAGCTATTCATGAGGGATCCGCCCCCATGACCCAAACACTTCTCACTCTGTCCACCTCCAACATTGGGGATCAAATTTCAACATGAGATTCAGAGGGGTCAAACGTCCAAACTAGGCGAGATGCCGTGGCTCATGCCTGTAATCCCTGCACTTTAGGAGGCCGAGGTGGGCGGATCACTTGAGATCAGGAGTTCGAGACCAGCCTAGCCAGCATGGGGAAACCCTGTCTCTACTAAAAATACAAAAATTAGCTGGGCATGGTGGCACACACCTGTAATCCCAGCTACTCAGGAGGCTGAGGCATGAGAATTGCTTGAACCCGGGAGGCGGAGATTGCAGTGAACTGAGATTGAGCCACTGCACTCCAGCCTGGGGAGACAGAGCGAGACTCTTCCAAAAAAAAAAAAAAAATACAAACTCTAGCAGGTGTCATACTTCCTTCCACTGTAGGACCTTTGCACATCATGCTGTTCACTCTGAGCACTGCTTCCTTTCATCATTTCCTAGCATTTCTTCCTCCAGGAAGTCTTCTATAATCTCTTCGACTAAAGTTTCTCTATTACACTATTTCATAACATCACATACTTTTCCTTAATAGCACTTATCACAATTATATTTTTACATTTATTTAGGTGATCATGTGATTGATGTCTTTCTCTCCACTGGAACTGAAGTCCACGAGGGCAGGGCAGGAAGGGTAGAATAATTTTTTCCGCTTTAATATCATATTCTCAGTTCATAGCATCTTGCCTGACACAGAGTAAAATAAGTACTCAATAAACATTAGTTGAATGAATGAAATTAATCTCATTGTACATGAGAAATGTACAATGGGGCTCTCTAGCACATGGTTTGCAGCTGCCTCTTCCCTCTGCCAGACGGCAATACTTGTGTGACTAAGAAAGAAAGGGTTGTGCATGGTGGCTCATACCTGTAATCCCTGCACTTTGGGAGGCTGAGGTGGGACAATCACTTGAGCCCAGGGGTTCAAGATCAACCTGGACAACATGGCAAGACCCTGTCTCTACAAAAAATAAAACAAACAAAAAAATTAGCCAGGTGTGGCACTGCACATCTGTGGTCCTAGGTCTGTGGGAGGTTGAGATGGGAGGATTGTTTGAGCCTGGGAGGCAGAGGTTGCAGTGAGCTGTGATTGCACCACTGTACTCAAACCTGAGTGACAGAGTGAGACTGTGTCTCAAAGAAAAAAAAGGAGAAAGAAAGAAAGAGAGAGAAAAAGAAGGAAGGAAGGAAGGAAGGTAGGAAGGAAGGGAGTTTCTCAAAGAAGCTCTGCCTCACAATGACCCCCCTATTAAGTTCTCCTGATGTTGATGGTTATCCCTTTTCTAAGTGTGGGTCACCCCTAAGAAGACCACTTGCTAGTAGTCATGTGGTTCCAAAATCATGCCCCTTGATAAGGCCAAATCTATGCATACAAAACTGTAATACCCTCTTTGAAGAATCTTCTGTGAAAGTTTAGTCATTGAAGTTCTGTCTTGAGCAGGAGATGTCAACAAGCTGTAATCTTGGTACTTTGATTGTCTTCTCAGGCCCAGTTCCAGTTTGCTCCTTTCTTTCTTTCTTTTTTTTTTTTTTTTTGAGATGGGTTCTTGCTCTACCACCCAAGCTGGAGTGTGGTAGCACAATCATAGTTCATTGCAACCTTGAACTCCTGGGCTCAAAGGATCCTCCTGCCTCAGCCTCCCAAGTAGTTGGGCCCACAGCTGTTCACCATCACGTCCTAGTTTGCTCCATTTCAATTGTCTCCTTCTTTATGGTGCTACACAAGGGTAAAATAATAACAATAGCTGACATTTATTAGTCATTGGTGCTTGCTATTGTTAGGCACCATGCAAGGCATTCTTTGTATAATATTCTTACTTAGAAAAAAGAATCCTCTTAAGTCAATGCTACTATTATCCCTGTTTTACAGTTAAAACATGGACATTTAAAGAGATGAAGAAACTGCTTAATATTACATGGCCGGTGAGTGGTAGAAACAGATTTTGATACTCAGGTAGTCTGATGTCACAGCTCACACTTGGGTATATACTACATCACACTGCCTAGGTACAGTTAGTGATATTTTACTGATCCTAACTCAACTTCTCATCCAGTGAGATAAGTTCCAAAGACCATTTAAATTGTCTTCTTAAACTGCTAACCACATAGCGAACACAAATATCATACAACTGGGATTAGAGGGCAAAGTTATCCAAATTAAAAACAAGACTTATCTTGATTTGTGATTGGGCATATCATGAGTGCAGGCACAATGTAGATGCTCAATAAAACTTATTTATTGAATGAATAAATGGATCACACCAGTCACATCCTTATAAACCCTTTAATCAGATTATGAATATTTTTCCATACAATTTCTCCACAATTCAAGTTCCTCTTCAAAAATATAGAATAAGGAATTTTCTTCTTAATTCACACTCTATGGTCCAAACAATCAGATTATAAATGAACAATCTTGATATTCATTCATTCATTCCATAACTATTTCTTGACCAAGCTACAGTGTGTCTTGCTTTTTCCCTACTAGAGAATAGAACTCATTTTTTTCTCTAGTGACTATTCCATCTGGCCTCTCTTCTGTCTTTTCTCATAGAGAAGGCCTGTCATAGGTAGGCCTGTCCAGTACTTCTCCCTGGGATGCACCAGAGAGACATATGGACTTCACCTGTCATTGGTATCCGCAGCAAGCCTTTCTCTCCCAAGCCTAACCTACATTGTACTGCTACAGGTACTTTGCTGTAGATGCCATAGTGACTGTAATTTTTAGAAATGATTTCTCTCTACAGAGGGAAATTCTTTCATTATAATAAAAAAGTCATTTTCTATTATTATGAAAAAATACATATTCATTGCATAAAAAATTTTAAATCCCATGTAATCCCCCCAAATAACAATTGTGATAGATAATATTAAAAGAGTCTTACTGTATGTTAAGCATGACACGATAACAAAGTTACATTACCTTTTCAATTTTACTTATGAGAAAAATCCAGGAAATTGAAGGGGGCTGCTTTAGATCCTCAGCTGGTAAATGAGAGTCTGAATGTATACTCAGGTCTATCCACTTCAAAAACCAGCATTCTCTACCACTGACGACATCATCTTAAAGGCCAATTAGTATTCTGATGTACAGAGGCACTTAGTGCCTTCTCTCTTATTGGATATTTAGGTTGTTTTTAATTTTTTAATATTAGAATTAGCACTTCAATGAACATTAAAGTTAAACATTTTCTTTGAAGGAAAAATAGTGTTATTGTTCCTTTCAGAATGCATAAATAATATATGCTTACTCTCTTAGTCCATTCAGGCTGCTAAAACAAAATACCTTACACTGGGCAATTTACAAATGACAGAAATGTATTGCTCACAATTCTGGAGGCTGGGAAGTCCAAGATCAAGGCACCAGCAGATTTGGTGTCTGGTGAGGGCCCATTCTTCGTAGATGGTGCCTTCTGTGTGTCCCCACATGGCAGCAGGGGCAAACAAACTCTCCTTGGTCTCTTTTATAAGAGCATTAATTCCCTTCATGAAGGTGAACGCCTCATGATTTAATCACTTCCCAAAGGCCCCACCTCTTAATACCATCACATTGGATATTAGGTTCTAATAACTGTAACCTCAAGTTTACAGTTTGCCAACCTAGGCCAAAGGTAGGGAAAGTATGGCCCATGAGCCAGATCAGGCCTGCTTTCCTCCCCTCTTATTTTTGTATAGCCTCTGAGCTAAGAATAGATTTTTATATTTTTCACTGATTATAAACAGTCAATGAAAAAAATACTTTGTAACACATGAAAATTATATGAAATTCAAATTTGAAAGCACAAACTGTTTTTCACCGTTGCACACTTCTGTGACCAGATGTGTAAAGGTTTTTCTCCACATACTAAGCAAATCTCCAGTGGACGCCAACTGAGTGTCTTATAATTCAATTTAATTCTGATACTATCCACCTGAAGATAGCATCAGACCCTACAGGTTAAGGGCCCAGTCCCACAAGACTGCCCGCACTCCAGATACCAATTAAAAGCCCCAGGTTGTAGGGCCAGGTGTGATGACGTACGCCTGTAATCCCAGCACTTTGGGAGGCCAAGGCAGGTGGATCACTTGATGTCAGGAATTCGAGACCAGCCTGGCTAACATGGTGAAATCCCGTCTCTACTAAAAATACAAAAAATTAGCTGGGCGTGGTGGCAAGCACCTGTCATCCCAGCTACTCAGGAGGCTGAGGCAGGAGAACTGCTTGAACCCGGGAGGTGGAGGTTGCGGTGAGCCAACATCACGCCATTGCACTCCAGCCTGGGGGACAAGAGTGAAACGCTGTCTCAAAACAAACAAACAAAAAAAAAAAACAAAGAAAGCCCCAGGTTGTTATTTGTGCTTCTGACTGGCTATAAATCAAGGTTCCCTCAACCACCTCTTCAGGTTTGATTAATTTGCTAGTGGCTCACAGAATCCAGGGAAACACTTTAGTTACATTTAATGGTTTATTATAAAGAATAGTACAGGCCAGGCATGGTGGCTCTTGCCGGTAATCCCAGTACTTTTGAGGTTGAGGTGGGCAGATCACTTGAGGTCAGGAGTTCAAGACCAGCCTGGACAACATAGTGAAAGCCTGTCTCTACGAAAAATACAAAAACTAGCTGGGTGTGGTGGCGCGTGCCTGTAATCCCAGCTACTCTGGAGGCTGAGGCAGAAGAATCGCTTGAACCTGGGAGGCAGAGGTTGCAGTGAGCCGAGATTGCACCACTGCACTCATGGTGCAGTGACAAAGTTAGAATCCATCTCAAAAATAAATAAATAAATAGTATAAAGGATGCAGATGAATAGCCAGATGGAAATGATGAATAGGGCAAGGTATGTGAAAAAGGGCACAGAGCTTCTATGCCCTCTTCGGATATACCACCTCCAGGCACCTCCATGAGTTCAGCTATCTAGAAGCTTTTCCAACTCAGTCCTTTTGGGTAATTATGGTCATTATGTAGACATGACTGATTATGGTTATAGTAATCGAAGGGGATTATTTCCAAGACTCCCACAGATACTAAAATCTAGGTCCTACAGTTGACCATTGGTGATCAGCTCAACCTTCAGCTTGTCTCCCCTCCCTAGAGATTAAGAAATGTGGCTAAAAGTTCCAACTCTCTAATCATGCCCTAGTTTTTCTGACCAATCCCCATCCTGAAGCTATTTAGGGGCCACCAGTCATCTCATTAGTGTACAAAAGATACTCTTACCACTCTAGAAATGCCTCATATTTTAGGAGCTGTATGATGGGAACCAGGGCAGAAATTAAATATAGATTTTTAAAAATTATACCACAGTATAAATAGTTTTATTGGAACACAGCTATGCTCATTCATTTACGTATTATGTGGATATTTTCATGCTACCATAGCAGAGCTGAATAATTGTATTGGAGAATGTGTGGCCCACAAAGCTTGACTATCTGGCCCTATACAGAAGAAGTTTGCTGATCTCTGACTTAGGTAACTGATGTACTTCTCTTATTGCTATTAAATGGGCAGGGTAAATATTAAAAATACCTATATTTTAGGGTGGGAGAAAAAAATTAACAGCTAAGGAATTTGGGGGCGTATTTAAGGCCATATTGGAAAGGTACATATGTTAATTATTCCCTCCATACAAAAATGACTTTGATATTCAGATTTTAATAATTATCAGATAGCTATAATATGTGGAGTGATGGGAAGTAACATTTTGGACAGATTGCAGTTAGGAAACAGACCCTGGTCAGAAGGTCTTAGACAAAAATCTTAGCATCAAGCTCAGATTATTCCTTCCTGCTTCATTTGTGTTCTCCTCACAATGCTTTCAGCTGCCTAGGAATAGCCAGGCAACCAGCTGCTACTTTGAGCACCCGGCTAAAATAAGCAGAGACAACTGGAAGGCTTGATGTGAAAAAGAGCTGTTGAAGTGTACACAAGCAAGCTGACTGCCTTATGACTAATACTTGACAGAACCCAGCAAGAGGATATGAGATTGCAGATGGATGACCTCAATCCTGAACAGAAAGGCGTGCATGATAATGGAGAGAAAAAAGCCAATGGGGAAAAAAAACCCACCACTATTTTTTTAATAGCCTAACACACACACAAAAAACTGGTTTTCCTTTTTCTGTAATGTGTCTGTAGAGCTGGCTATTCTGATTAAAGTTGCCCTTGAAAAAGCAATTAACTTAAGAGTCTTACTGGAAGTTAAAAATCCCAAGGGGCAGGAAAAATGAGTGTATGGGAAGCCCAGTCAACAGGTCAGAAGGTACAGCTGGGAGGTTTTAGCATTACGTACCGTGTGTTTTTCGTTTAAGGGAGAAGCTTATTTGCTCACTGCTATAGTTTGGATGTTTGTCCCCTTCAAATCTTGTGATGGAATCTGATCCCCAGTGTTGGAAGTGGGGCCTAATGGGAGGTGTTTGGGTCATGGGAGCAGATCCCTCATAAATAGATTAATGCTCTGTCTGGGAGGGTGGGTGCGGGGTACGAGTTCTCACTTTATTAGTTCCTGTGAAAGCTGGTTGTTAAAAAGAACCTAGCACCTCCCCTTTCACTTCAGTGGCAAAGTACACTCCAATACTTTCACCCTGATGAAGTCCTATTCTTTAGTTTTATACTTACTCTTATTCTTGTTCCCGTTCTTATGCCACCCTCTACCTCTCCCCAGCTATCTCTACCACACTATCAATCTCACTCTCTCCTAGCCATTTCTAATCCTTCTTTAACAAACAATTGCTGGCTTTGCATTTCTCTTTCCTCCAAAACTGCCAAGGCCTTGACTTACTGCTGAAAAAGGAGGACTCTGTATATTTTTAAATGAGCAGTGTTGTTTTTACCTAAATAAATCTGGCCTGGTGTATGACAACATAAAAAAACTCAAGGATAGAGCCCAAAAACTCGCCAACCAAGCAAGTAATTACTTGCTTGGGCACTCTCTAATTTGATGTCCTGAGTCCTCCCAATTCTTAGTCCTTTAATACCTATTTTTCTCCTTCTCTTATTCAGACCTTGTGTCTTCCGTTTAGTTTCTAAATTCATACAAAACCATATCCAGGCCATCACCAATCATTCTATATGACAAATGCTCCTCCTAACAACCCCACAATATCACCCCTTACCATAAAATCTTCCTTCAGCTTAATCTCTCCCACTCTAGGTTCCCACGCCAACCCTAATCCCGCTGGAAGCAGCCCTGAGAGACATCGCCCATTATCTCTCCATACCACCCCTAAAAATTTTCGTTGTCTCAACACTTCAGCACTATTTTATGTTATTTTTCTTATTAATATAAGAAGACAGGAATGTCAGGCCTCTGAGTCCAAGCTAAGCCATCATATCCCCTGTGACCTGCACATATACATCCAGATGGCCTGAAGCAAGTGAAACATCACAAAAGAAGTGAAAATGGCTGGTTCATGCCTTAACTGATGACATTGCACCATTGTGATTTGATCCTGCCCCACCTTAACTGATCAATTAACCTTGTGAAATTCCTTCTCCTGGCTCAGAAGCTCCCCCACTGAGCACCTTGTGACCCCCACCCCTGCCCACAAGACAACAACCCCCTTTGACTGTAACTTTCCACTAACCACCCAAATCCTATAAAACTGCCCCACCCCTATCTTCCTTGCTGACTATCTTTCCGGAGTCAGCCCGCCTGCACCCAGGTGATTAAAAAGCTTTATTGCTCAAACAAAGCCTGTTCGGTGGTCTCTTCACACAGATGCGCATGACACTATGGTTTTGCTTTCTGAGGTTTCAGTTACTTGCAGTTGACCATGTTCCAAAAAATATTAAGTAAATTACCCAGAAATAACAATTCATAAGTTTTAAATTGTACTCCATTCTGAGTAGCATGGCGAAATCTTATGCTGTCTGGCTCTGTCCCATTGGGTACATGAATGATTTCTTTGTCCCGTGTATCCACGCTGTTTAAGGTGGTGGTACCTGCCTGTGAGTCACTTGGCAGCCCTGTTATTTAACAGTTGGACAGTCACAGTATCTCAGTGTTTGTGTTAAGGGAACCCTTCTTTTACTTAAGAATGGCCCCAAAGTGCAAGAGTAGTGATGCTTGCAATTCAGAGATGCCAAAGAGCAGCTGGAAAGTGTTTCCTTTAATTGAAAAGGTAAGTTTTTTACTTAATAAGAAAAAAAATTATGTGCTGATGTTACCATGATCTATAGTAAAAATGAATCTTGTAGCTGTGAAATTGTGAAAAAGGAAGAAGAAATTTATGCCAGTTTTGCTGTCACACCTCATCCCGCAAGGGGTGCAATGCATTATGGCTGCCATGTGTGATATTACGAGATAAAAAATAGTTCATGGGTGTCAACCTTCCACCCTGCGCTCAGCTCTGCTAGGTATTCTAAGGATTTACAGAGGCTAAGAAATCTCATACAGAACATAATATGTACACATAGAAAGCACAGAGAAACAATGACACACTAGCATTGAGAACTCAGTGGAATGTTACTGACAAGTGCAGTAGGAGTTCAGCAAAGAAGAGGAGGCCACTATAGGCAGGTGGAGTCAGAAAAGGGGAATGACCTTGTGGGGTCACTGGAATTTGGATCTGTGGAGAGAAGGGGAGGAGAGTTTCTAAAGAGAAGAGTGACAAGACCAGAAGCAGGTACAAAACCATGAACCTGGTTTGTTTAGAGGACAGTGAGGAGATCTTTCTGGTTGACTGTTTAGAGGTGGGAAGGCCAAACCGAGGAATTATGTCTGACAGAAGGGAAGAAATGACCATGGTGGCCTTCTCAGACTCTGTGGGAAAGGCCTCTACCTATCCAGTGAAAGTGTCTACCCAGACCAAGAGGTATTTTAGTTTCCTGACTCGGGGCATGTGAGTAAAATCAATTTGCCAGTCCTGGGCAGGGGCAAATTCTTGAGCTTGATGTGTAGGGAAGAGAGGGGGCCTGAGAAATTCCTGAGGAGTAGTAGAATAGTAGATGGAACATTGAGAAGTGATTTTTTGAGGATGGATTTTTACGATGGAAAGGAAATGAGAGGTTTTAAGAGGCAGGCTAGTGGCTTGTAACTTACATGGAAGAGGTTATGAAATGACGACAGAATAAAACAGGCCTGTGAGGCTGGAAGGAGATATTTTCCTTGGTCCAAGAACCATTTGCTTTGTGTGGGAAGAGATTGATAGGTGGAAGTTTCAGTAGGAGAGTAGGTGGGAGTGACTGATGAGAAGGAGAAAAACTGGCCACGAGGGACAGAAGTTGGGACACTAGCTGATTCTTTAGCTACCTTATCAGCATAAGCATTGCCCTGAGTGATGGGATCTGACACCTTTTGATGGCCCTTGCAGTGAATGACTCCAGCTTCTTTTGGAAGTAAAGCGGCCTTGAGAAGAGTTTTTATTAAAGAGGCATTAATGATGGAGGACCCTCGCATAGCGAGGAAACCTCTTTCAGCCCATATAACAGCATGGTGATGCAGGATATGGAAGGCATATTTAGAGTCAATATAAATATTGACATGTAGTCCCTTTGCAAGAGTGAGGGCCCAAATTAAGGCAATGAGTTCGGCTTGCTGAGAGGTAGTGGAGGGGGGCAGAGTGGTAGCCTCAATGATAGATGTGGAAGATACTATAGCATAGCCTTCCTTTGCTGGTGAGTGGCGATTTGGCCTGGTGGAACTGCCGTCAATAAACCAAGTGTGATCAGGGTTAGGAACAGGAAAGAAGGAAATATGGGGAAATGGAGTGAATGTCAGGTGGATCAGAGAGATACAGTCATGGGGGTCAGGTGTGGTATCAGGAATAATGTGGGAGGCTGGATTGAAGTCCGGGCCAGGAACAATGGTAATTGTGGGAGACTCAACAAAGAGTGAGTATAGCCGAAGGAGCCGGGGGGCAGAAAGTACATGCATCAGGTGTAAGGAAGAAAATAGATTTTGGAAGTTATGAGAGCTGTAGAGAGTGAGTTGAGCACAGTTTGTGATTTTGAGGGCCTCTGAAAGTATTAAAGTAGCAGCAGCTGCTGCATGCAAGCATGAGGGCTAGGCTAAAACAGTAAGGTTAAGTTGTTTGGACAGAAAGGCTACAGGGTGCAGTCCAGGCTCTTGTGTAAGAATTCTGACCACACAGCCCTGTACTTTGGCTGTGTGTAATGAAAAATTTTGGGATATGTCAGGGACAGCTAGTGTGGGAGCAGATTTTAGGGCTGTTTTTAAGGAATGGAAAGAGGAATGGGGAAAGGATTTAGGATCTATGGGGTCAGCTAGATTTCCTTTTGTGAGTTTATATAATGGTTTAGTCAGGATGTTAAAACTAGGTATCCAAAGGTGAAAGTATCTAACCATGCCCAAGAAGGAAAGGAGTTGTTGCTTTGTAGAAGGAGTTGGGGTTTGGGAGATTAGCCAGAGAAGATCAGCAGACAGAGCATGTGTGTTTTTATGAAGAATTATGCCGAGATAGGTAACGGATGAGGAAGAAATTTGGGCTTTGGAGGGGGATACACGATAGCCTTTTGAGAATAGACGTTGGAGGAGCAGGAGGGTGTTCTGTTGGGAAGATTTGTAGGAGGGGCTATAAAGTAGAAGGTTATCAAAATATTTAATAGGGTGAGAAGCAGATGGATGGAAAGAAAGTAAATCATGAGAAAGGGCTTTACTGAAGAAATGGGGGCTGTCCATGAAGATTTGCGGCAGTACAACCCAGGTAAGTTGCTGAGACTGATGGGTGTCAGGGTTAGTCTAAGTGAAAACAAAGAGAGGCTGGGCTGAAGGGTGCAAAGGAATAGTAAAGAAAGCATGTTTGAGATCCAGAACACAATAATGGGTTGTGGAGGGAGGTATTGAGGATAGGAGAGTTTATGGGTTTGGCACCATGGGATGGATAGGCAAGACAATTTGGTCGATAAGGTGCAAATCCTGAATTAACCTGTAAGACTTGTCTGGTTTTTGGGCAGGTAAAATGGGGGAATTGTAAGGAGAGTTTATAGGCTTTAAAAGGCCATGCTGTAACAGGCAAGTGATAACAGGCTTTAATCCTTTTAAAACATGCTGTGGGATGGGGTATTGGCATTGAGCTGGGTAAGGGTGATTAGGTTTTAATGGGATGGAAAGGGGTGCGTGATTGATCACAAAGGAGGGAGTAGAGTGTCCTATACTTGTGGATTAAGGTGGGGAGATATAAGGGGAGGATGTGAAGGAGGCTTTGAACTGGGGAAAAGGGCAGCAATGAGGTGTGGCTGTAGCCTAGGAATAGTCAGGGAAGCAGACAATTTATTTAAAATGCCTAGACCCAATAAGGGAACTGCGCAGGTGGGAATAACTAAAAAAGAGTGCATAAAAGAATGTTGTCTGAGTTGGCACCAGAGTTGGGGAGTTTTAAGCGGTTTAGAAGCCTGGCTGTCAATACTCACAACAGTTATGGAGGCAAGGGAAACAGGCCCTTGAAAAGAAGGTAATGTGGAGTGGGTAGCCTCCATATCAATTAAGAAGGGGAGTTACCCTCCATTGTAAGAGTTACCCAAAGCATCTGTGATGGTCCAGGAGGTTTCCGAGGCAATCGGGCAGCATCAGTCTTCAGCCACTAAGCTGAGAAGATCTGGGAAGGAGTCACCCAGAGAGGCTTGGGCCAGAGTTCCAGGGGCAGTGGCTGCTGGGCAAGTTGGACAGTCTGATTTCCAGTGGGGTCCCACACAGATGGGACATGGCTTAGCAGGAATCCTGGGCTGTGGGCATTCCTGGGCCCAGTGGCCAGATTTCCGGCACTTGAAGCAAGATCCTGGGGGAGGAGGTCCTGAAGGAATGCCTGGCCACTGTGGCTTAGGTGTTTTGAAGTTCTTGTGTGCTGGAGATGTAGCTGGGGTTTCTCTCACAGTGGAGGCAAGTAATTGCAACTCTTCTCTATTATTGTACACCTTGAAGGCAAGGTGAATTAAGTCCTGTTGTGGGGTTTGAGGGCCGGAATCTAATTTTTGGAGCTTTATTTAATCTCAGGAGCAGATTGGGTAATAAAATGCATATTGAGAATAAGATGGCCTTCTGGCCTTTCTGGGTCTAGGGCAGTAAAACATCTAAGGGTTGTTGCCAAACAAGCCACGGACTGGGCTGGGTTTTTATATTTGATGAAAAAGAGCCTAAAAGCTAACTGATTTGGGAAATGTCTGATAGAGAAAAAGGAGCATTAACCTTGACTATGCCTTTAGCTCCAGCCATCTCTTTAAGAGGAAATTTTTGGGCAGGTAGGGGAGGGCTAGTCGTGGAACAAAACTGTAAGCTGGACTGGGTGTGAGGAGGGGAGGTGATAGAAGTATTATAGGATGGGGGAGCGGAGGCTGAGGAAGAATTGATACCTGGCTCAGCCTGGCAAGGAGCAGCCTGGGGAGGAGGGGAGAGGTCAGATGGGTCCGTAGAAAAGGAGGATCCAAAGGACTCAAAACCTGGGGTGGAGACTGAAAGAACAGACTGGAGAGAAAGAAGAAAGATTTGGGATGAGTGGCATTGGGAGCAGAGATTAGGAAGGGACTGATGTGTAAAAGAATGCCTGGACGTCAGGCACCTCAGACCATTTGCTAATTTTATGCCAAGAATTATCTAGATCTTGTAGGATGGAGAAATCAAAAGTGCTGTTTTCTGGCTATTTGGAACCATTGTCGAGTTTGTATTGGGGTCAAGAGGTACTGCAGAAGAAAATAAGGCATTTAGGTTTTAGGTCAGGTGTGAGTTGAAGAGGTTTTAAGTTCTTGAGAACACAGGCTAAGGGAGAAGAAGGAGGAATGGAGGGTGGAAAGTTGCCCATAGTGAAGGAGGCAAGCCCAGAGAAAAGAGAGGGTAGAGACATGGAGAGAAGGGGTGGGGGGGGATACTTTCGCTCCCAGGGAGGTTGCCTGCCACAAAGGTGAAGGATCAAGGCAGGTGTCCCCACGGTGATCAGACACCTCTGAAATGTGGGTGAATAATCAGGCAGGCATCCCGGCAGTGATTAAACACCAAGTGAAGACTGTCTTCCCAAGTCCATGACTGGTGCCGGAGTTTTGGGTTCACAGATAAAACATGTCTCTTCTGTCTCTACCAGAAAGGGAAGGGAACTGAAATTAAGAGAAGGGAGAGATTGAAGGGTGGCACCAAAATTGAAAGGAGAAAGAAGTTGAGGGATAGCGAGAGAGGTTGGAGAAGAGAGTAAAAAGAGGCCACTTACCTAATTTAAAATTGGTGAGATGTTCCTTGGGCTGGTTGGTCTGAGGACCCGAGGTCACAGGTGGATCTTTGTCACTGAGCAAAGAGCAGGAGGACAGAGGATTGATCTCCCAAGGGAGGTCCCCAATCCGAGTCACGGCACCAAATGTCACACGCGTCCATGTGAAGAGACCACCAAACAGGCTTTGTGTGAGCAGTAAAGCTTTTTAATCACCTGGGTGCAGGCGGGCTGAGTCCGAAAAGAGAATCAGCAAGGAAGATAGGGGTGGGGCAGTTTTATAGGATTTGGGTAGCTAACGGAAAATTACAGTCAAAGGGGGTTGTTCTCTTGAGGGTAGGCTTGAGGCTCACAAGGTGCTCAGTGGGGGAGCTTCTGAGCCAGGAGAAGGAATTTCACAAGGTTAATTGATCAGTTAAGGTGGGGCAGGAACAAATCACAATGGTGGAATGTCATCATTTAAGGCAGGAACCAGCCATTTTCACTTCTTTTGTGATTCTTCACTTGCTTCAGGCCATCTGGATGTATACATGGAGGTCACAGGGGATATGATGGCTTAACTTGGGCTCAGAGGCCTGACACATAGATAAGGGAGGACTACTGTAAAATACAGTTAAATATATAGAATGTCCTCATTATTTGTGTTAGTTATGGTCTATAAAGTTATGAACCCCAAAAATTGGAGACAGGTCTCAGTTAATTTAGAAAATTTGTTTTGCCACGGTGGAGAATGCACACCCATGACACAACCTCAGGAAGTCCTGACAACACATGCCCAAAGTGGTTGGGGCACAGCTTAGTTTTATATATTTTAGGAAGACATGAGGCATGAATCAATATATGTAAGAAGTACATTGGTTCCATACAGAAAGGCAGAGACTACTCAAGGCAAGCCCCCCTGTCCCTGCCACCTTGCCCTCCCATCCCCACCCCAGGGGGCTTCCATGTCACAGATAGGTGAGAGATAAATGGTTACATTTTTTGAGTTTCTGATAAGCCTTTCCAAAAAGGCAATCAGAACATGCATCTATCTCTGTGAACAGAGGGATGACTTTGAATAGAATGGGAGGCAGGTGTGCCCTGAGCATTTCCAGCTTGAATTTTCCTTTTAGCTTAGTGATTTTGGGGGCCCAAGATATTTTCCTTTCACAAAGTTGTTGTGAATACTGAATTAGTGAATGGTGAATCATTGTTCTTAAAGGAAATATAGGGGAAAGATCATGTGAGTTCTTTTTGTCAATTGATCAATTGTCACCTTTTTGTCAATTGATCAATATATAACCTGGTTTTATGTGTGTTTCTGTTAAGATACCTTAATATATTTGTTAATTTATTTACATTCAACTCACAACCAACAGCACTGTAATTCATGCCTGAACAAAGCTTATCAACTGCATGTATGCTCCACCTATCCTCTGGAAACTGCCTTTCCAAAAATTATATGAGAAAATTATGGCAGTAAAAGAGATCTGACTGAACATCTTGCCTTTAGCTGCCAGTGATTATTCCTGGGCTTGGACCGAGCTAACTCTGGGAGACATTTAGTTTATAGTTTAAATGATAATAGCCCTCTGGCCTGGCCACATGACCCTTGAGCA
This sequence comes from Homo sapiens, assembly GCF_000001405.40. Taxonomy (NCBI): domain Eukaryota; kingdom Metazoa; phylum Chordata; class Mammalia; order Primates; family Hominidae; genus Homo; species Homo sapiens. The sequence continues at coordinate 88,350,230 of NC_000004.12, forward strand.
GTAAGGAATTATAGAAACTATACCTACATTTTAGCAGAGTTCAAGCCCCTCCCATAATCCTATTCTTGCAGCCTTTCATTAGACTTACAAAGGTGATTTTGAGTCCGTGTGTAAGGAGGGAATTAGTTTTAGGGAGGGACTGTAATGAGTTGGCTCTGTGTCCCCACCCAAATCTCATGTCAAATTATAATTCCCAACATTGCAGAAGGGACCTGTTGGGAGGTGATTGGATCATGGGGTCGAATTTCCCCTTTGCTTTTCTTGTGATAATGAGTTCTCATAAGATCTGCTTGTTTAAAAGTGTGTGGCACTTCTGTCGCCATGTGAAGATGTGCTTGCTTCTCCTTTGCCTTCTGCCATGATTGTAAGTTTCTTGAGGCCTCCTCAGCCATGCCTCCTGTACAATCTGTGAAATTGTGAGTCAATTAAAAACTATTTTCTTTATAAACTACACAGTCTCTGGTAGTTCTTTATAGCAATGTGAGAATGGACTAATACAGAGACTATTATCATCCTTGCTTTCAAGTGAAACTATAAACTAAGTTCCTCCCAATGTTAGCTTGGCTTATTCCAAGGAATGACAAGGACAGCTTGGAGGTCAGCAGCAAGATGGAGTCAACTACATCAGATTTCGCTTACTGTCATAATTTTGCAAAGGCAGTTTCAGTGGGATTTAGGAAAGTAGATAAAGTTTGTGCCATTGTTTGTTTATACTGCTATGCATGGTCTTAGTCCTTTTCACGGTCATAAAACTTCCCCACAACCCCAGAGAGGAATTATGGTAGGTACACTCTTGGTCTCTCTCCTGGGAGTAGAAGCTTCCCTCAAAAGAGAATTTACGGCAGTCATCATGTCTCAGAAGTTTCTGCGATAGTCAGATAAGGGAAGCTCCAAGAAGGCTTCTTTCTGCATCTGTTGTATCATAAAAGTCTTCAGCTTAAGATAATTTTATACCAACTTGGTGACCCAGGAGGTCCTCACAAAGTCAGTACAGCTAATAGTATTTGAAGGATTGATTTATTCCTGAGCCATAGGGATACATTTTTATTCTGACTCTAGGTTTATCTCATGGGTGTTGGTTCTTAGAGTTTTGTTTTGTTTTCTAAGAAAATTTCAAAAAAATTGTAATTTTTATAAAACTAGAGGCACTAGGGTTTCTAGGCAGATCCAACACTTGTCCCTTATCATTTCAGCGTTACTACAGCTCCTTACCATCCCTAGTCCCTTTCAGATTTTCCTGAAACTTAGAGCTCCCCAGATGTTTGATGATTTAAGTGTATCCTGAGGTTTGCCCTCTCATGGAAGTCCCCATAAACACAAATGGTGACACATTTATCCAAGTTTATGACTCTCTTCTGATGACATGATTTTACATCCATCAGATGCCTCTGCAAGTCTGCCAAATATCACAAGGCAATTCACTAGTGAGAATAAATTCCATAAATTTAATTCAATTATAAATAAGTTCCTGTGCTTTCTTGAGAAAATTAATACGTTTTATGTGTACCAAGAGTGAAGGCTCTGGAGTCAGACTGTCTGGTATCATATACCAGCTACAACACTTCTTGGGTGTGTGAGTTACTTTATTCCTTAATGCCTCAGTTCCATCTTACTTGAAATAAGGATAATAACTGTACCTTCTTGATAGTGTTGCTGTGATGATTCAACAGAATAATTCCTGTGAACCTCCAAGGACAGGGCCTGCAACTTAGAAAGCATTTAATGAGTATTAACTAGGGGGAATTAGAAGCAATCATGGTTTGCATTTTTTTAGAATTCAACAAGTCAAATCTCTACTGATATGAACAGGCTGTTTACTATAGTCCTTCAAAAGTTTTCTGTAACTCAACCATTTGAATTGCTACATTCTGATTCAAGTTTTCCTAGATATCATTGTAGGGGCCAAAGGGACAACTTCCCATTTGCTTTCTGAACGTTTGATGAGAAATCAGCTCACAAAAGGCAGATTAATTGGAGAAAAAGCATACACATTTTATTAGCATACACATGGGGAACATTACTGAGTGATTACCCAACCCCGCAATGGAATGCAGAAGCTTAAATGCCATCTTGAGGTTACAAAAAGAATGAGGGCTTCGGCTGTGGCAAAACAGATTACCAAAGGGAGAAAAGAGGAGGCTTGGCTAGCAAAGGTGTTCTCATTACATAGTTGAAACTTCACAGGTAGCAGTCCTGTTAGAGAATAGATGGCAAATGTTTCTTTCAGACCTTTAAAGGTGTTTCAGACTCTCAGTTAATCTTTCCCAGATCTAGACAAGGGAAGGCCTGGCTTCATCAATGCAGATTTTCTACAGATGCAAATTTCCCCCACAAGATATAACTTTGCAGGGCTACTTCTGTATGCTAGCTCTCTGACAGCCATCTCAAAATATGTCAAAGAAATATATTTTGGGGGATAAAATATTTTGATATCCTTTAGTCCCCACTTTGAAACTTTAAAATTTCACATTTTAAAGGCCAAGCTGATTGCTTTGGAGAGACTTTGGTTAGAGGTTGTTAGATATAGAAGAAAAGTGGAAAAAACAATTGGGATAAGCAGAAAAGAGCAAAGTTAAATATAGAATTCCATATCTTCTTTAGTCAGTCTCTTAGTTCTGAGGATAGATCAGCTCAATTAAACAGCTGTGTCCCATTCCAGGAGGTGGCATAACGGATGGGCTAGGCCTCTATGTATGATGCAGGAAAACAGATCTTTAATAAGAGGCATTTCTATGGATACAGAAGAAAAATTAAGGTTAATGACTGGAGTAGTCTATAGAATAGTCTTTCTGGAGTCTCTGGAGCATCTTTGGACTGCAGTGGCAATCTGACAGATTACATTTTTAAAAGCCTTGAGGGTGGAAAGCCAAGCCAAGGATTTGCCACCATACTGTCTTCAATACCTGTACAAATTGGATGAATTTCTCTTTTCTTGAGGTCTCAAAATAACTTGAGGTGCATGGGCCTGTCAGAATGTTGCATTCTCACCACAGCTCAGGAACCTTGTAAAGGAACTGCATAGAAAAATTACCAGGCCAGTCTGTCCAAGGGATGTCTTAGCAGCTCAATAAAGTCAATGTGAATTCCTTAAAGCAGTCTGTTCATGTCTGAAAATATGCCATTCCAGTCAAAGCCTTGGTAAAATAACCAGTGCCTCTAACTGTGTCCTTTTATTAAAAAGAAAAAAAAGATTCTTATTGAACTTATGTAAATAATTATATTGCCATAAATTAAGAATACTCACAAATAGTTTCCAAATTCTGGAGAAATTAGGTTTAGAGAAAGCTAAATGATTCACATGTGCTCACAAAAGTATATTTAACCCAATTGTTGTAAGTTATAAATAGCTCAAGGGAGAAAAAAAAAGTTTTTTTGACCATGGAAAACAAAACAAAAAGAATCAGCCATGTTTCAAACCAAAAAAAGTCACAAAACTTATTTCAGTCCTCTATTAATTTAGTCTGATGTAATTAATTCTTGTTCCATTTGATGTTGGGTTAGCAATCTTCATGAATGTATCATCTTTTTAGAGTCCTAGACGTTTTCTACCTAGACCAATGGTATGACCTCCAAAGTTATGAGAAATCTGTATTCAATAATATGTGTTAGGTTCCTTTCCATAAATTTCCTTGAAGAAGAAAATTTTGGACTATAACCAATTATAAATTGCTTTTTGAGAAGAAACAAAGTAAAACAATAATTTAACATAATAATTATAATTATTACCAATAACATATACTAACACATATCAGAATTTTAGTAATTAAATTTAGTAATTTAATTATCCAAAATTACAATTTTGGAATATATATCAATAACACATTTATATAAATATAACTCAGAGAAAGTTAACCACCATTTCTTATTTGACGATGCTTCCCATTTGATCTTAACATATCAAATAAGCCTAATGTGTCTCTCTTGTATTTCTAGGGACCCTAATATCCAAAATGCTAGTTTGAGATAAAAATGACTGAATTTAGAATTAGAAATTTTGTTTTTGGGAAGAATATCAAATATTAAAGTTTTAAAACACTTGGTCAAAATAGGATTGCAGGTCACTACGATTATCACTTTGGATAAATTACCATTTTGGATAAATTATCATTTAATTATCTTTTAATTACCCAAAATGATAATTAAAAGATTTCAAAAAGTGGACCAGGCATGGTGGCTCACACCATAATCCCAGCACTTTGAAAGGCCAAAGTGGGCAGATAATTTGAGGTCAGGAGTTTAAGACCAGCCTGACCAACATGGTGAAACCCCATCTCTACTAAAAATACAAAAATTAGCCAGCTGTGGTGTCAGGCACCTGTAATCCCAGCTAGTCAGGAGGCTGAGACAGGAGAATCACTTGAACCCTGGAGGGAGAGGTTGCAGTGAGCCGAGATCAAGCCACTGCACTCCAGCCTGGGGGACAAAGCAAGACTCCATCTCAAAAAAAAAATTTCAAGAGCAAAAATCTTTACTCTTTGATAGTGAAGAGACTCAGTTTCCCCAACAATCATAAGACCTAATAAAGACACCACAAGGCAAACTTAAACTATTTTTTCTCTCTCTTTATTTTGCAGTTTACTTAAGAGGTAAACAAACCTTTTTACTATCTCTTATTATTTACAAAAATCTTGTTTTCTAGAAAACCAAAGTCTACTTTACATCAGTATATTATTATGCTAAAGTTAATTTTAATAAAACTGTATGAACAAATTCAGCCATCTCAGTTTTGACCACAAATTATGATTTCCATAAACCTTTTATAAATCATTCCAAATTTTCCCACTCTCATTTCCTCAACTTTCTCTGTTCATTCAGTGTTACCAATTTTCTTATTCTTAAAATTTAAAACAGCTTTTAAAAACCTCTAAACTATGCAAAATTACTTTTCCTTTAACAAAAACCATATTCTCATGCCTTTTTATAAACTTTTTTTAACCAAAAATGCATTTTACTTTTCTTATATACTTCAGCATACAGAATTGCTTTTCTTATATCTAGTAGTTTTAATTACATATGTTAAGTATAATGTTAACTCTTAGTAACCCTAATTTTCAGTGAAAAACCTAGGAAAAAAGCAATTTTAATTATGTACCAGATGCAGAGCCATGAAGACAATGCCTGGAGGATCTAACTCCTCTCAGCATGGCCAAGAGGCATAGCTAGGCCAGGGGGACAGGGCCCAGGTATTGTCCCAGGTTTCACCATGGTCATTTGCCTAGACTTCAGAATCTAAAGGCTGAACTCCAAAGGCATAAGCTTACAAACTATCAAAAAAAGCAAGTATCAAAAATATCACAGAAGTAAAAGTTTATTTTGTTTTTTGTTTTGTTATGTTTTGTTTTGTTTTGTTTTTTTGAGACAGAGTCTCACACTGTCACCCAGACTGGAGTGCAGTGGCACAATCTCAGCTTACTACAACCTCTGCCTCCTGGGTTCAAGCGATTCTCCTGCCTCAGCCTCCCGAGTAGCTGGGATTACAGGTGCGTGCCAACATGCTCAGCTAATTTTTGTATTTTCAGTAGAGGTGGGGTTTTACCATGTTGGTCAGGCTGGTCTTGAACTCCTAACCTCATGATCTGCCCACCTCGGCCTCCCAAAGAAGTAACAGTTTTATGACCTTAAAACATACAGTAGAGACAGTATAAATCTGTCTGACCAATAGATCCAGCAAAAAACTCTAGGTTAAATTATGAAGACATTTCTATTTTATCAAAATTGTATAACTCTCTTTACCAAAGATTAACAAAATCACATGAACTTGTAAAGCATTAGGGCTTATTTACTTAATTCATGAGTACTCATTTACTTAAAGTCATACAGAGAATATATAAACATAGACACGTAGGCATAAAAATAAAGACAGACACAAAGACTTTATATCTTTGACTTAAAATTTTTAGACATAGATTTCTAAAACTACCTAGTTTTAAAGGACAGTTGGATTAAAACTGCGCCTTTGTACATGAAAAAGTTAATCTCACATGGTCTTAGACCCTACTGGGTTTTAGAGAAAACAGAGTAACAAATTTACATCTCAAAGCACATAGAGAGAGAATTAAATCTTTTTAAGAAGGAATTTGAGAGTGTTATAGGAATATTAGAAATGGATGCCAAGGTTACACAGAAGCATGGGAACTTACCATAGGATTTTATAAGGAGGCCAATTTCATTGATTTTCACTCAATTTAGTTCTCTGATTGGGAATCAAACCCAGACTGCAGTTGTAAATCACAGGACTACAAAGTAAAGCCACCTTTATTGTGAACCCTACAGGGGATCACAGCAGGAAGTTTGAGCTTACAAAGGATTTTAACTTTGTTTTAGGCCAGATTTTTGCTCTTTAATTTTGTCAAGAGAATTTCTAAGGCTAGTCATGACACTATTATGTCTCTTTCTTTTAATTTGAGCTTCCATTAACTTTTTAAAATAAAATATCTCTAAATTTTTTTTTTTAATTTAGGAGTTGGCTGGTGTGATGACTCTTGCCTGTAATCGCAGCACTTTGGGAGGCTGAGATGGGAGGATCCTTGAAGCCAGGAGTTTGAGACTAGCCTGGGCAGCATAGTGAGACACTGTCTCTACAAAATAATAATAATAAAAAAATTAGCCATCATGGTGGCATGCACCTATAGTCCAAGCTATTTGGAAGGCTGAGGCAGGGGATCACTTAGGTGATGAGGAGTTTGAGGCTTTCTTGAGTCATGATTGCACCACTGCACTCCAGAGCCTGGGTGACACAGCAAGACTCTGTTTCTAACAACAACACAAAAATGTAGGAATCTAGTTTAAAGGATACATCTCCTGGCCATTGAATTTCCAATGGTGCATTTATTCCAATAGTGACTCATTCCAATAGCCTCCTTATGGAAAGCCCAGGGTCTAATTATCCAGGTTCAGAAGGCATTTTCTCAGAGAGGGCACAGAAGAGGCTGTCCCAAAGATCCTCCCTGAAAAATTAACTTCAAGAATAGGCCAAGACAGCAGAAGACTCTTGTTGCCCATAGACAGTAACCCACAAATTTGTGGGGGACTGTCAATCACAGACCAGTTAATATGCGACGTCGGGTAGGCCCTTCTGGAATTGGACTTTCCCAGCACTAACCAGTCAAGAAGGGTAGAGGTGACAAAAGCCCTTTATGGATAGACTTCTTATGACAGACTCTCTCAAGAGCTTGACACATTCAGAACAAAGTCTCAGGTTCCCAGCTACTTTCAGACTGACCAGTTGACATGACCTAGAAATCAAGCACCCCAGATGGTAGAGACCCAGAGAGATTGCTTCCACTTAGTCACAGGTCAAGCTCTTGAGGACATAGAACAAGATGAGCGGGAAACTTATCTGATACCTCTCTTTATGACAGAACAACATAGAAAGACAAAGACCAAGGAAAATACTATTTCTGGGAAGAAAGGGATCAAACAATAGGTACCTCCATACCACGAATGACTGAAAAGCACGCCAGAGTCTCTATGCCTACAAATACTCACACAAATCCTTCTCTCCCATTAATCAAGATTTCAGAGGGGAAAAAGAAACAGTGACCTTTACCATCTGCTTGACAGGATTCCACAGAGAGAGAGAGAGAGAGTGGGTCCAGAGGCATGGCTGATAAGAAATTCTTACCTGATAGCAAAAATTAGCCAGGCATAGTAGCAGGCATCTGTAATCCCAGCTACTCAGGAGGCTGAGACAGAAGAATCGCTTGAACCTGGGAGGCGGATGTTGCAGTGAGCCAAGATCGCACCATTGCACTCCAGCCTGGGCAACAAGAGTGAAAACTCCATCTCAAAAAATAAAATAAAATAAAATAAAATAATAAATTCTTACCCTTATGCTGGCCAATCAGGGCTTAGATTCCCCTCACTGCTGCTTCCAAAAAAACAGAGCGGCTTTGGTGATCCTGCTCACAGTGCCAAAACTGTAGGGCAAAGGGAGAGAACACTTCCCCTTTACCCTCAGACAGTTTACAAAAAAGTCAACTCACAAAAGGCAAATTAATGGGAGAAAAGGCATACACATTTTATGAATGTGTACATGGGGAGCATCACAGAGTGATCACCCACCCCTGCCCCAGTGGGGTGCAAAAGCTTATATACCATCTTGTTACAGAAAGAACGGGGGCTTGGATCACGGCAAAACAGGTTATGAGAAGGAGAGAAGAGGAGGCCTGGCTAGCAAAGATGGTCTTGTGATGTAGAGGAAACCTCACAGGTAGCAGCTCTCAGAGAGAATAGGTGGTATATGTTTCTTTCAGACATGTACAGGTGTCAGATCACGGTGGTGGATCCTTCCTGTATGGTTTCGCACCATTCCCCTGGTGCTGTTGTGATAGTGAGTTCTTGGGAGAGCTGGTTGTTTAAAAGTCCGTAGCACCTCCCCTCTCTCTCTCTCTTGCTCCTGCTCCCGCCATATAAGATGCCTGCTCCCCCTTTACCTTCCGCCACAATTTTAAGCTTCCTGAGGCCTCCCCAGAAGGAGAGCAGATGCCAGCATCATGCTTCCTGCACAGCCTGTGGAGCTGTGAGCCGATTAAACCTCTTTTCTTTATAAATTATCCAGTCTCAGGTATTTCTTTATAGCAATGCACGAATGGACTAATGCAAGCTCTATGGTTAAAATAAGCTCAATTAAAAGCTGATTTATATATATATATACACACACACACACAAATATATACATATATGTGTGTACATATATGTGTGTGTATATATATATACATATATGTATATCTTTTCTGCTTTTTCTCTTTGGATCCCATTATGAACATTTTTTTCAGTTGACTGAAACCCTTTTTAAAATTATGTGCTCAATCCCTCTGTTCACGTCCTTTCTTAAGTATTTTTCTCTCATTTACTTTTACTCCTCCCTACTCTGCAAATTCCCCCCACAAAAGCTTAAATACCAACTAAGCTTTGCAAGGCTACTTCTGTTTGCTGTCTCTCTGACAGCTATCCCAAAATATATTTTGAGGTTCAATATTTTTATTTCCCTCAGTATAAACTGGTGATGATTAAGGTCGAAAGTGTGAAGAAATTTCTATAAAAGTTCGTGATACAATGATGAACTCTATTGATAAACACTATCAAGGAAATAGCCTTCTCGCCTGACTTGAATAAACCACTTTATCCTTTCCCTCCAATCTTTCATTGTAGTTCCCATATTGGCACTGCACTCGGGTGGTACAGGAAGGAAGAATGTCTGGAAAGTGGAGTATTTACCTGAAAAACAGATTAAACAGGATATGGAGATAGTTAAAATGATGAGTTTAAGATCCTTCCCCACTCACTAGCATAGAGGCTTGATAATTAGTTTCAGGTAACTTGTAAGATTCTCCCCAGGGCCTGAAAGCCTAAGGGGATGAGTGACTCCTCCCTGCTCAGGCCCAGTCCCAAGGTGCAAGGCCACCTGCATCAGCAGCGTGTGTCAGCAAGACAGCAGAAGCAGGAAGAGAGCCAACCAGAAGACACCTACCCTGGCCGTAAGACATGTACCACCGAAGATCCGAGAAAGAGGCCATCTGGGTACAATGTAGCAGTTACATCAGACTAGGACACTTCCTGTTTACAGGAGGCTATAAAACTTCTGCGCTGTCCTCACCTGGGGCTGACACCATTTTAGGCCTCAGCCGGCCAGCACCTAGGCGCTCATTAAAACAGCATGTTGCTCCACACCACCTCGTGTTGTCTGTTGGCATGCTCTCAGGGTTCGAACCGATACAAGAACCTTACAGTGGAAAATAAATGTTTTTGCATAATCTGAGTGAATTATTAGACTCTGCCATCAGCACCATCTTTATAATTGGTAGAGCCCAATGCAAAGTGAAGATGCAAAGCCTCTTGTTCAAAAACTAAGAAAAAAAATGCAATTCAAGGCACTAAAATATAAAGCTTTTACTTTTCTTCCACACTGTCTTACTTTGTCATGGTATTTTTTTATTTGCTCCTTAATGTTGTTCTAAGTAAAGTATCACTTTAAACCACTAGCATCAATTCTACCCTCATCTTTATATTGTGCAATGCCAGTGATGGGGCTCAGGACACAGTACCCCAAAATATGACTCCAGGGAACCAGAATATGCCATGCCAAATATGGCTCTTTGGCATAATAATTATATTGAGCTTGAGAAGTGGCAACATGGAAGCAGCCCTTGCTCGCTCTTGGCGCCTCCTTGGCCTTGGCATCCGCTCTGGCCACACTCAAGGAGCCCTTCAGCCCGCTGCTGCACTATGAGGGCTGCTCTCTGGGGCTGGCCAAGGCCGGAGCCGGCTCCCTCCACTTGTGGGGAAGTGTGAAAAGAGAGTTGCCATATACACTGTGGAATACTATGCAGCCATAAAAAATGATGAGTTCATGTCCTTTGTAGGGACATGGATGAAGCTGGAAACCATCATTCTCAGCAAACTATCGCAAGGACAAAAAACCAAACACCTCATGTTCTCACTCATAGGTGGGAATTGAACAATGAGAACACATGGACACGGGAAGGGGAACATCACACACCAGGGCCTGTTGTGGGGTGCAGGGAGTGGGGAGGGATAGCATTAGGAGATATACCTAATGTTAAATGACGAGTTAATGGGTGCAGCACACCAACATGGCACATGTGTACATATGTAACTAACCTGCACGTTGTGCACATGTACCCTAAAACCTAAAGTATACTTAAAAAAAAAAGAAAGAAAGAAAGAAAAGAAAAGAGAGGTGCCGGCAGGAGCCGGGGCTGCACGCGGCACTCGGTGCTCCTGGGCTGGCGCGGGTTCCAGGTGAGCACCAGCTCGGCAAGCCCCACACTTGGCGTGGCCAGCTGGTACCTGCTGGGCTTGATCCGAGGCTGAATCCCGTGTGTGGACCACCATTCCCTCTTCGCCAGGATAGCAGGTCTCCATCTCTTTATGGCTTACCGTCTTTTCCTCTTGATTGTCTGGGACAAGCTCCCTCTGGGCTGTCGGAGTGTTCAGGCTAGGTGCCGCAAAGTCCTGTGGTGAATGCCGGTGAGAGGTGAAGCCGGCTGGGCTTTTGGGATGGGTGGGGACTTGGAGAACTTTTGTGGCTAAGGGTTTGTAAATGCACCAATCAGCACTCTGTCAAAATGGACCAATCAGCTCTCTGTAAAACGGACCAATCAGCGCTCTGTAAAATGGACCAATGAGCTCTCTGTAAAATGGACCAATCAGCAGGATGTGGGTAGGGCCAAATAAGGGAATAAAGCACGCCGGCTGAGTCAGCAGCGGCAACCCGCTAGGGTCCCTTTCCATGTTGTGGAAGCTTTTTTCTTTCGCTCTTCACAATAAATCTTGTTGCTGCCCACTCTTTGGGTCCATGCCAGCTTTTATGAGCTGTAACACTCACCTCGAAGGTCTGCAGCTTCACTCCTGAAGTCAGCCAACCACAAACCCGCCAGAAGGAAGAAACTCCAGACACGTCCGAACATGGGAAGGAACAAACTCTAGACACACCATCTTTAAGAACTGTAACACTCACCACCAGGGTCCGCGGCTTCATTCTTGAAGTCAGCGAGACCAAGAACCCACCAATTCCGGACGCAAGCTGGTTATTTTGAGAAACTCCAGACACAGGAGTAGCTCTGAAAACAAGGATGAAGGTTGCCCTTTGGTAAGGGAAATTTACATCTATGAAGAAAATATCTGGGGGGTGTCTCCTCTGCACCGGGAAGAGAGGGATGACTAAACCACTAGAGGCTCTTAACGGAGAAAGGTATCAACTTAAATCTGCATAACAACGCTTATCTTTAAAAATGTTTTTCCTGGCCATCTTACCTTAACTGGCTGTTCCCTATACTCTTTTTTTTTTTCTTTCAGAGAAATGATGGTATTTCAGCCTGAAGTCTAAGACTAAGATCTACTCTAGAGATTTACTAATTTCTCTGGATTATCACCAATGTATACAAGAGGTTTACATGTTATTACATCTCTGTGTGTTTTTCTGTTGTTAATTTGTCTTTTATTACAGGGAGTCCCAGCTAAGAATTCATGAAAAGTGATGAAGAAAATGATTTTTCCTCCCCATACCAGTTTTAAATGCAAATATAAGAGCATTTAATTAGTACGCAAAATCACCAAAATTGTCCAACTTTTATTTTTTTAGCCGTTATACGCATCTGTATTTCATTCTTACCCGTCTTTCTTTCCACTGAAACACTGCACAAAACTTACTTATCTGTTTTATTTCACTTCTTAATGCCCCACATATTCCACTAACACTCTTACTTTTGGCTTAATGATAAGGGAAGATTGAAAGGGAAAAAAATTATGGGTTGCCCTGTCTTCCCTTTTCTTTCTATGTCATCACTTTCAACATAAGAGGCTGGCTAATCCTGAGAAGTAATAGGAGTAAGACAATAATAAGGGTCACTTCTTTCCTTTGTGTTTTTGGAATGCCATTGCCTTTTTTCTGTGTTGGAAACAAGTTCTGGTTTAACAGAAGTGTGACCTCGGCTGGGTACAGTGTCTCAGCCTGTAATCCCAGTAACCAACTACGGGCAGATCACTTGAAGCCAGTAGTTCAAGACCAGTCTGGCCAACATGGTGAAACCCCGTCTCTATTAAAAATACAAAAATTAGCTGGGTGTGGTGGTGCGTGCTTATAGTTACAGCTACTTGGGAGGCTGAGGCAGGAAAATTGCTTGCACCTGGGAGGGGGATGTTGCAGCGAGCTGAGATCGTGCCACTGCACTTTAGCCTGGGCAACAGAGTGAGACTCCATCTCAAAAAAATAAAATAAAATAAAAATTATATATACATAAAAAGGGTAAGGGTTTGGAGCATGTCCACACAAGTTATGGCAGTAAATCTGGTGGTGGTGGCAAGACAGGTCATGGGAGGAAGAGAAGAGGAGGTTTGCCTAGCAAAGGTGGTCTGGTTATATAGATGAAATCTCACAGGTAGCAGCCCTCAAAGAGAATAGATGGTAAATTTTGATAAATAGATGTTAGAGTCTCCACTAACCTTTCCTAAATCTGGACAAGGGAGGGCTTCAAAGAAAGCTTGTTTGCTTCCATTGTTTCGTTCACTTTATCTTCTCTACAGATACAAATCTCTCCCACAAAAGACAGCTTTGCAGGGTCACTCTGTCTGCAGGCACCCTAGTCACAGAATATGTCAAAGAAGCATATTTTGAGGTGAATAGTTCAGTTTTCTTCACACTCATGAAGTGGACCCTGCCTACCACTTGTGTCTGGAGCAAATACCTCCAATTCCTTGTTGGTAGGTTGTGGAGTGACTGCTCATTGCCACCTAATATCTCGTCTCTCCTTCCTTTCTTTTTTTTTAAATAGAAACGGGGTCCCATTCTATTGCCCAAGCTGGTCTTGAACTCCTGGGCTCAAGCAATCCTCCTGCCTCAGCCTCCCAAAGTGCTGGGATTACAGGCGAGTCACTGCACCTGGCCTCTCCTTCCTTGATAACAGAAATCCAATTTTGTTTGGAGTTTAATGTGCTGAGCTAAAAACTACATTTTCGGCAACTTCTGCAGCTGCTATAGCCACATGAATAAGTTTTGGTTAATTGGATGTGCACAGAAGTGTTTTATGGGATTTCTGGGATAACAGTCTCTTTCCTCCTTTTAGTAGCTTTGGAATAGAGTTGTGATAGCTAGAACTCCATCTGGAATCTTAGAAAGTGAGGTGACCTGCAGGATGAAAGTTAGGTCCTCAAATGAAGCAGAAACACAGAAGGTGACTGAGTCCCTAAAAAACCAAAGCATTGCCACCCCAGCCCTTGGCTGCTTATATTGGGGTAACCTGCCCCCAATATTTCAATGTAGGTTCTTTCTGTTTTCCCTAAGTATTGGCTGATCTGAGAAATAAAGAGAAAGAGTACAAAGAGAGGAATTTTACAGCTGGGCTACCAGGGTGACATCACATATTGGTAGGTCTATGATGCCCACCTGAGCCCCAAAACCAGCAAGTTTTATTAAGGATTTCAAAAGGGGAGGGGGTGTATGAACAGGGAGTAGGTCACAAAGATTACATGCTTCAGAGGGCAAAAGGCAGAACAAAGATCACATGCTTTTGAGGCGAATAAAGATCACAAGGCAAAGGACAAAGCAAGATCACAAGGCAAAGGGCAAAGTCAAAAACTCCTGATAAGGGTCTATGTTCAGCTGTGCACGTATTGTCTTGATAAACATCTTAAACAACAGAAAACAGGGTTCAAGAACAGAGAACCAATCTGACCTCAAATTTACCACAGTGGGATTTTTTCCCCACCCTAATAAGCCTGAGGGTACTGCAGGAGACCAGGGTGTATTTCAGTCCTTATCTCAACCGCATAAGACAGACACTGCCAGAGTGGCCGTTTATAGACCTCCCCCCAGGAATGCAATTCTTTTCCTAGGGTCTTAATATTATATTCCTTACTAGGAAAAGAATTTAGCGATATCTCTCCTACTTGCACGTCCATTTATAGGCTCTCTGCAACAAGAAAAATATGGCTCTTTTTGCCCAACCCCAAGTCAGACCTTATGGTTGTCTTCCCTTTTTCCCTAAAATCACTGTTATTCTGTTCATTTTCAAGGTGCACTGATTTCATGTTGTTCAAACACGCATGTTTTACAATCAATTTGTTCAGTTAACGCAATCATCACAGGGTCCTGAGGTGATGTACATCCTCAGCTTATGAAGATAACAGGATTAAGAGATTAAAGTAAGACAGGCATAAGAAATTATAAGAGTATTATTAGGGAAGTGATAAATGTCCATGAAATTTTCACAATTTATGTTTCTTCTGCTGTGGCTCCAGCGGGTCCCTCCATTCGGGGTCCCTGACTTCTTGCAACATGCTTACCTCTGAATTTTTTACCTGTGAGAGAAATAAGCTTGTATTTGTTAAACCATTATTTTTTACAGCTTTATTATGTGCAGGTAAAATTAATCTAAACTTGCATGGAAGTCTCCACTAGTTCACCTAGGTTAAGAAATTAAGTTAAACATTTTTTTTTTGAGATGGAGTTTTGGTCTTGTTGTCTAGGCTGGAGTGCAGTGATGCAATCTCGGCTCACTGCAATCTCCACCTCCCGGGGGTTCAAGTGGTTCTCCTGCCTCAGCCTCCCAAGTAGCTGGGATTACAGGCACCCACCACCACACCCAGCTAATTTTTATATTTTTAGTAGAGACAGGGTTTCACCATGTCGGCCAGGCTGGTCTTGAACTCCTGACCTCAGGTGATCCACCCTCCTCGGCCTCCCAAAACCCTGGGATTACAGGCATGAGCCACTGCGCCCGGCCAAGTTAAACGATTTTTTTTTTTTTTCGAGATGGAGTCTCATTCTGTCCCCCAGGCTGGAGTGCAGTGGCGTGATCTCGGCTCACTGAAAGCTCCGCCTCCAGGTTCACACCATTGTCCTGCCTCAGCCTCCCAAGTAGCTGGGACTACAGGCACCCACCACCACGCCCGGCTAATTTTTTGTATTTTTTGTAGAGACAGGGTTTCACCGTGTTAGCCAGGATGGTCTCGATCTCCTGACCTCATGATCCGCCCACATCAGCCTCCCAAAGTGCTGGGATTACAGGTGTGAGCCACCACGCCTGGCCAACAATGTTTTAAACACATCTCAGGCAGTCTTCAGTTTGTTGTTGGGCAATGTGTCGTGAAGCCGCTGGTATGAATGACAATCATTTCTAGGATTCAGAGGCCCTTTTCCTTTATCTTCCCAGGTCAGGACTATTTTCTGGATTTCTGAGATTGCTGATAAGTGCAGTATTCTGATAATGACAATGTTGTAGTAGAAATAGTAATAGTAATAACATGAGTATAACATTTCTTATTTTTTAAAAGTAAATATTAAAATTATGCAACAAATTTGGGGTAGAAAGCCATAAAAATTCATGTGGATAATTATAAGACTACCACTGAAAAGAGATGTCAACCATTGACATATATCAACCGCGAAAGAGGAGGCATGATAAGAGATTAAGGTGACTAATACTTCTATCTAGTGTTCAAATTGAAAACTACCATTTCTTGTCTATAAGGACAATGTCGGGTTTTAGCAAATGTTTTCTTTCCCCCAGCTGACTTGTGCTGGGCCATCCTAATTGTCTTGTCCATTTGCAAAAAAAAAAAACAAAAACAACAACAACAACAGAAAAACACTAGATAATATTCCAGGGAGCCACCTGGAGGTGACTGAGATGGCAGCTGGAGTATAATAAAAAACTAAGCATATTAGGGAGTGTGTTCTATTTTTTTATTTGTCTTAAGGGCTGAAAGCACGGAGTGTGGGCTTTGAACTCAGAACAATGGAGTTAAAGAGAAGACAGTCTAAGAAGAGAAAGGCAAAAGAACAATGGAGACTTGCAGCGCTCCTGCCTCCTCTTAGATGTTCTTCTACTTGCCTCTGGAGGATTTCCCCCAGACTGCTTTTTCTACTTCCTCACTGGTCTATCTGTGTCTCCTCAACCCCACTCACTCCATGATGACCTTTCAGAAGCTCACACTCTCTCATCCCCTTTCTAATGTCCTCCTCACCTCACATTGAGTCAGGGCTGTTTAGTGGAAAGAGGGTTTGATTCTGGGATCCCCTACTTCCTTACTAGTTATCTTGAGCAAATCACTTGAGTTTTCTGAGGCTTAAGTTGTTCATATCTGTACCTGGGTAGATAATACATGGATAATATGTACCTTATAGGGAGGTTGCTCAAATTGGACGATGTATTGTGAAAGAGACAGATGTGGTAGGCAGTTGGGGCATTTCATTTTATTTTCCTTTTCTCATTCTCTTCCCTTCCGTAAATCACTGTTAGGGGAAAATTAGTAAAAAAAGAAAAATAGGCTACTGGAATAAAATATTAGGTATAAATAATTTTCAAAGTTTGATTTTAGAGGTATGATGACAGTGAATTTCTATTGATTTTCTGTTTTTTCATGTGAGTATTCTTTGATAAAGGGACACTATTCTACTTACTCATCTGCAAGCTCAGGACAAATTACTCTCAGCTCTGTAAGCCCTCTCATGCTACTACTCTGTGGTTATGAGGACACACGAGGGAAATAGCTGGAAAGATTTTGTAAAGTCTAAAGTAAATGCTAATGAATAGTAATTATTATATTTTGTTTGCTCCTTGTTATACCTATAGTGGATATTCAGTAAAGATTTTTTATATTTTTTATTTTTTAAACTTTATTATTATTATTTGAGACAGAGTTTCACTCTGTTGCCCAGGCTGGTGTGCAGTGGCACCATCTCGACTCAATGCAACCTCTGCCTCCTAGGTTCAAGCAATTCTCCTGCCTCAGCCTCCCGAGTAGCTGGGATTACAGGTGTGCACCATTATGCCCAGGTAATTTGTGTATTTTTAGTGGACACGAGGTTTCACCATATTGGTCAGGCTGGCCTTGATGTCCTGGCCCCAAGTGATCCACCTACTTCAGCCTCCTGAAGTGTTAGGATTACAGGCATGAGCCACTGCATCTGGCCAAGATTTTTTTTTTTAACTATTGACTGAAGATAGAATAATATGGCAATATAATATGAAACTAGTATTAAATTGGCAGGAGGGATGTGCATTAGTCTGTTCTCATGCTGCTAATAAAGACATACCCAAGACTGGGTAATTTATAAAGGAAAGGTTTAATGGACTCACAGTTCCACATGGCTGGGGAAGCCTCACAATCATGGTGGACGGCAAAGGAGGAGCAAAGTCATGTCTTACATAAATGGCAGCAGGGAAGAGAGAGAGAATGTGCAGGGAAACTCCCCTTTATAAAACCATCAGATCTTATGAGACTTATTCACTATCATGAGAACAACACAGGAAAGACCCACTCCAATGATTCAATTACCTCCCACCCGGTCCCTTCCATAACACGTGGGAATTATGGGAGCTACAATTTGAGATGTGGGTGGCGACACAGCCAAACCATATCAGAATGTGTACAAAAGACATTATTTGTTATAGAGCCTAGAAAAAGGAGCAATTCACGTGGTGGAATCTAAGAAAGGCTCCCACAAGGGTGGGTGTGATGGCTCACACCTGTAATCCCAGCACTTTGGGAGGCTGAGGCTGGACAATTACTTGAGGCCAAGAGCTCTAGACCAGCCTGGGCAACATAGTGAGACCCTGTCTCTACAAAAAATTTAAAAATTGGTCGGGCATGGTGACACAGACCTGTAGTCCCAGCTACTTGGGAGGCTTGGGATGGGAGGATCACCTGCACCCAGGAGATCGAGGCTGCAGTGACCATGATTGCACCACTGCACTCCAGCCTGGGGAACACAGTAAGACCCTGTCTCAGAAAGAAAAAAAAAAAAAGAAAGAAAGAAAAAAAAGGCTTCACAGAGATGAGACATTTAAGACATGTTTTTTCATAAAAAGAAATGAGGAAAAGGAAATTCCACAGAGAAACCACAGAATGAATAGAGGCATCGATTTAGGAAAAAGCAAGCACGAAAAGGCAAGTAGTTCATTTTGACAGTAGTCCCTGTGTATGTGTGGTGGGGTGGGGGGGATATATATAACTATAACTATCAGTGAGATAAATATAGAAAGGTTGGTTACAAGTGGATAATAGAAGGCCTTTAATTATATGCAAAGGATTTTGTTTTCTTTGTTTTTCTGTAGGCAAAAGGCCTACAACCATTAAGAAAAATAAGTGGTGTGATCAGACCTGTGTTTTCCACAGGCAACACTCAGGAGAATAAGAAGGATCTATTTGTGATGCCAGTTGTTAGATATAGAGACATTTGAGATGTTGTTGCCAAAGACCTCAACTCTGGTAGGAGTGATGGAGACAGAAAGAAGTAGATAGAAAATGGGATATTGATGATATCAGCCAATCAGCAATTAATCCATTAGGGGAGGGTTTTCCTTTTTTGTTTTTTGAAGCAGGGTCTTGCTCTGTCACCCAGGCTAGAGTAAAGCAGAGTGAACACAGCTCACTACAGCCTTGACCTCCTGGGCTCAAGTGATCTTCCTGCTTCAGCCTCCCGTGTAGCTGAGACCATAGGTGTGTGCCACCACGCCAGGCTAACTTTTCGATTTTTTGTATAGACAGGGTCTTGCCTTGTTGCCCAAGCTGGTCTTGAACTCCTGGGCTCCAGCTATCCTCCCCTTTGACTTCCCAAATTTTTGGGATTACTGGTGTGAGCCACCGCCCCTGGCCTGAGAGTTTTGCAGTGGCAAGAAAATGTAAGATGAATTGGAGGTTTTTAGCTGGAATGGTTTTAAGGAAGTGCCACTAGGGGGCATGAAAGGAAAGATCAGGGAATAAAGAGTGTTCTAAGACTTTAGTAAAAATTAAACAGGCTTTCTAGTCAAATGGATCAGTGTTAATATCCTACCATTTAGGCCAGTGCAGTGGCTAACACTTGTAATCCCAACACTTTGGGAGGCTGAGGCAGGTGGATCACTTGAGGTCAGGAGTTCAAGACCAGCCTGGCCAACATGGTGAAACCCTGTCTCTACTAAAAATACGAAAATTAGCTGGGCGTCGTGGCACCTGCCTGTAATTCCAGCTACTTGGGAGGCTGAGGCAGAAGAATCGCTTGAACCTGGGAGGCAGAAGTTGCAGTGAGCTGAGATCACACCACTGCACTCCAGCCTGGGTGAGTGATAGAGTGAGACTCCATCTAAAAAAAAAAAACAAACCCTGCCATTTATACACATCGTGTAACTTCAAGCAAGTTACCTAAACTCTCTGAGCCTTAATTCCTTACCCTCAAAAATGAGAATAATAATAATAATACTTATTTTGCATGATTGATATAGAAAGTCGTGTTGCTTAACTCCTTAGCATCTGTCTCAGCTTTCTTCCAGCAACATGCCTTTCATCTGGGATCTGCTTACTCCGCTCAGAAAGTGCATGGATGAGATTCCATCCTGATCCACAAGGTAGACTGACTACCCCATTGGCTTCCACAGTGATTGCCTCAGGGGTAGACATATGACCCAAATCGGGTGAAGACTTTTGTTTTGAGCAGATTTTTTCTGTACACAGGCTGTGAAGCTGAGAGCTGGATATATATAAAGTTTAGAGCTGCTGTAACCCTCTTGCAATCTCAGAGGAGCTCCTGGAATTGCAAGATAGACTGCATGGAGCCTGAAGATGAAGCCCTCATAGCAAGAGGCGGAGTGAAGAGACAGAGAAATGGAGTCATTAAGGACATTGGTTAAGTCCTTGTTTTCAGTAGTGCCTGTAATCAGCCATTCTGGTGGATTTTTCAGTTACTTGACTTTAATAATAAACAGTTGCGCTGTAATCATAAATACCTCCTAAATGCTCACGTGCTTACAACAACAAAAATTATCTCTTGCTGATGCTACATGGGCTACCTGCAGCGCTGCTTTATTGTTGTTTTTAATCTGGGACTCAGTAAAATAGAGCAGTCTCTCTCTAGAAAATCACCTGTTGTAACGGAGGAAAAGAAAAGTAGGAAAAGAAGTGCTCGCTCTAAACTATCTGCCTGAAGTTGCTTGCTTCCCACTTGCATATAATTGGCCAGAACAAATCACATGGTCAAGATTGATGTCACAGGGTGGAGAGGGGCAGCAAAGTTTTTTGAAAAATAATAATGCAATCTACAAGTAAATTTCCCTTTTGCTTAAGTGAGCTTGGGCTATATTTTCTGTCACGTGCAACCGAAAGAATCTTTTTTTTTTTTTTTTGAGACAGAGTCTCACTCTGTCACCCAGGTTGTAGAGCAATGACGCCATCTCAGCTGACTGCAACCTCCGCCTCCCAGGTTCAAGTGATTCTCATACCTCAGCCTCGCAAGTCGAGTAGCTGGGATTACAGGCGCCCTCCAACGCACCTGGTTAATTTTTGTATTTTAGTAGAGACGGGGTTTTGCCATATTGGCCAGGCTGGAGAATCTTAACTAAGGAAAGGTGATGAAAGAATTAGATATTTTATATAAAATCATCAACACATGGTAAGTACTCAAAATATCGGACCTTCTGTTTCCAAGTGCATGAACACAGATTAAGTGAAAATTATCTTTCTTAAAAAAAAAGATGTGCTCAATTTCTTTAATATACATTTTATTCACTTATCTCACTAACATTTATTCAGTTTTTTTTTTTAAATTTGGCAGACACTGTGCTAGGTGCTGGGAATACAAAATGAGTACAATGCGCTTACATTTTAGTTATTCAGTAGATTTTCTTTTAAGAAATAACAATATGAGGTTTCAGTGTCTTATATTGATAATATCAAACTCTTACAGTCTGAGCATATGAAACATTCTCCAAGGTCAGCCATATCTTAGGCCACAAAACAAGACTCAACAAATTTTAAAAAGTAAAAATTATATTGTGTCTTTTGTGATCATAGTGGAATAAAACTAGAAATCAATAACAAGAACCTCAGAAACTACACAAACACATGGCAACACAAACAACATGCTCCTGTATGACCAATGGGTCAATGAAGAAATTAAGAAGGAAATTAAAAAATTTCTTAAAACAAACGAAAATGGAAATACAACATACCAAAATCTATGTGATATGGCAAAAGCAGTACTAAGAGAGAGGTTTATACCAAAAAACTAAAAAGACATCAAATAAACAAGCTAAAAAATGTACCCCAAGAGACCAGAAAAACAAGAACAAACCAAACCCAACATTAGTAGCAGAAAAGAAACAATAAATATCAGAGCAGAAATAAAATCAGAGCAGAAATAAACGAAATTGAGACTAAAAAAATTACAGAAGATCAACAAAACAAAAAGTTTTCTCGAAAAGATAAAATTGACAAAACTTTAGCTAGACTAAGAAAAAAAGGGAGAGGACCCAAATAAATAAAATCAGAAATGAAAAAGGAAACATAACAGCTAAGACCACAGAAATACAAAGAATCATTAGAGACTATTATGAAAAACTACATGCCAACAAATTGGAAAACCTAGAAGAAATGAATAAGTTCCTGGACAAATGCAATCTACCAAGACTGAACCACAAAGAAATAGAAAACTTCAACAAACCAGTAACAAGTAACAAGATCAAAGCCATAATTAAAAAAATCTCCCATCAAACAGCCGAGGACCTGACAGCTTCACTACTAAATTCTACCAAACACTTAAAGAAGAACTAATACCAATCCTACTCAAACTCTGTTAAAAAAAAAAAAAATGAAAAAGGAGAGAATACTTTCAAACTCATTTTACTAGGCCAGCATTACCCTGATACCAAAACCAGACAAGGACACAACAACAAAAACTACAGGCCAATATGCCTGATAAACATAGATACGAAAATCCTCAGCAAAATACAAGCAAACCAAATTCAACAACACATTAAAGAGATTATTCACTCATTAAAGAGAGTGATCATTAAAGAGAGTGATCAAGTAGGATTCATCCCAGGGAAGCAAAGATGGTTCAACATACAAAAATCAATAAATGTGATATATCACATTAACAGAAGCAAGAACAAAAAAACCACATGATCATTTCAATAGATGCTGAGAAAGCATTTGGTAAAATTCAACATTCCTTTATGATAAAAAATCAAAAAACTGGGTATAGAAGGAACGTATTTCAAAATAATAAAAGCCATATATGACAAACCCACAGCCAATATCATACTGAACTGAAAAACTGGAAAACCTTTCCTCTAAGATCTGAAATAAGACAAGGGTGCCCATTTTCACCTTTTTTGTTTTTTGTTTGTTTGAGTCAAGGTCTTACTCTTTCACCCAGGATGGAGTGCAGTGGCATGATTTCAGCTCAATGCAACCTCTGCTTCACAGGTTCAAGGGATTCTCCTTCCTCAGCCTCCCGAGTAGTTGAGATTACAGGCATGCACCACCACACCAGGCTAATTTTTGTATTTTTAGGAGAGACAGGGTTTCACCATGTTGGCCAGGCTGGTCTCAAACTCCTGACCTCAGGTGATCCACCCACCTCAGGCTCCCAAATTGCTGGGATTACAGGTGTGAGCCACCGCGCCCGGCCCACTTTCACCATTTTTATTCAACATAATACTGAAAGTTCTGGCCAAAGCAATTAGGCAAAAGAAAGAAATAAAGAGCATCCAAATTGGAAAGAAAGAAGTTAAATTCGTCTTTTTCACAGATGACATGATATTATATTTAGGAAACCCAAAGACTCCACCAAAAACAACTGATAAACAAATTCATTAAAGTGACATGATACAAAATCAACATACAAAACCAGTAGCATTTATATAAACCAACAGCAAACAATATAAAAAAGAATTCAAGAAAGCAATTCCATTTACAATAGCTAAAAGAATATAAAATAATTAAAAATCAATTTAACCAAAATGATCTATACAAAGAAAACTATAAAACACTGATTAAAGAAATTGAAGAGGGGCTGGGCATGGTGGTTCAAACCTATAATCCCAGCACTTTAGGAGGCTGAGGCAGGTGGATCACTTGAGGCCAGGAGTTTGAGACCAACCTAACCATCATGGTGAAACCCTGTCTGTAGTAAAAATACAAAAGTTAGCCAGGCGTGATGGCACACGCATGTAATCTCAGCTACTCGGCAGGCTGAGGCATGAGAATCTCCTGAACCCAGGAGGTGGAGGTTGTGGTAAGCCGAGATGGTGCCACTGCACTCCAGCCTTGGTGGCAGAGTGAGACTCAGAAGAAAGAAAGAGAGGAAGAGACAGAGAAAGAGAGAGAGGAAAGGAAGGAAGAAAAGACAAAAAGTAGAAAGATGTTTAATGCTCATGGATTCGAAGATTCAATATTGTTAAAATGTCTATATTATCCAAAGCAATCTATAGATTTAATGCAATTCCCATCAAAATTCCAATGACTTTTTTCAGGGAAATAAAAGTTATTATTATTTTTTTTAAATAGAAGACCATTAACAGCCAAAGCAATAAGCATAAGAACAAAGCTGTAGGCATCACCCTACCTGTCTTCAAAATGTACTACAAAGCTAGTAACCAAATCAGCATATTAGTATAAAAACAGATACACAGATCAATGGAACAGAATATAGAATTCAGACATAAATCCACACACTTAGAGCCAACTCATTTTTGACAAAGAAGCCAAAAATATATAATGGAGAAAGGACAGTCTCTTCAATAAATGGTGCTGGGAAAACTTCTGCATGCAGAAGAATGAAACTAGACCCCTGGCCGGGCGTGGTGGCTCACACCTGTAATCCCAGCACTTTGGGAGGCCGAGGCGAATGGTTCACCTGAGATCAGGAGTTCGAGACCAGCCTAGCCAACATGGCGAAACCCTGTCTCTACTAAAAATATAAAAATTAGACGGGCGTGATGGCAGAGGCCTGTAATCCCAGCTACTCAGGAGGCTGAGGCAGGAGAATTGCTTGAACCTGGGAGGTGGAGGTTGCAGTGAGCAGAGATTGTGCCAGTGCACTCCAGCCTGGGAGACAAGAACAAAACTCCATCTCAGAAAAAAAAAAAAAGAAAGAAAGAAACTAGACCCATATACAAAAATCAAATCAAAGTTAATTAAAGACAATATAAGATGTGAAACTACTAGAAGAAAACATTGGGGAAATGCTTTGGGACATTGCTCTGGGCAAAAAATTTTGTGGAAGATCTCAAAAACACAGGAAACAAAAGCAAAAATAGACCAGTGAGATTACATTAAGCGAAAAAGCTTCTCCACAGCAAAGGAAACTCAACAAAGTGAAGAGACAACCCACAGAATGGGAGAAAAATATTTGTAAACTATCTGTCTGACAAGGGATTAATAACCATATTATTATAAGAAGCTCAGATAACTGAACAGCAAAAAAAAAAATCTGATTTTAAAAGGGCAAATGATCTGAATGGACATTTCTCAAAAGCAGACATACAAATGGCCAACAAGTATAAGAAAAAATGCTCAACATCACTAATCTTCATAGAAATGCAAATCAAAACCATGAGATATCATCTCACCACAGCTAGAATGGCTTTTACCAAAAGATAGGGAATAAGGAATGCAGGTGAGGATGTAAAGAAACGTACACTGTTGATGTACATTTCATACATTGTTGGTGGGAATGTAAATTAGTACAGCCACTATGGAGAACAGTATGGAGGTTCCTCAAAAAACTAAAAATAGAAATACCATATGATTCAGCAATTTCACTACTCTGTGTATATACAAAAGAAAGGAAATCAATATATCAAAGAGACATCTGCACTCCCACATTTACTGCAGTACTATTCACAATAGCCCAAATTTGGAATCAGGCTAAGTGCCCATCAATAGATGAATGGATAAAGAAAATGTGGTACATATACATAATGAAATATTGTTCAGCCATAAAAAAAGAATGGAATTCTGTCATTTCTGCAGCAACATGGGTGGAATGGTCATTATGTTAATGAAATAAGCCAAGCACAGAAAGACAATTATCACGTGTTTTCACTCATATGTCAGAGAGTAAAAAAAAAAAAAGTGAATCTCATGAAGATAAGGAGTACATTGTTGGTAACCAGAGTCCAGGAAGAGTAGGGGTAGGGGTGAGGAAAATGAAGAGAGGTTGATTAATGGGTACAAATATACAGTTGGATAGAAGAAATAAGACCTGGTTCAATAGCTCAGTAGAATGACTATAGGTACATTTCAAAACCACTAGCCAATAATAATTTGAATGTTCCTTTTTTTTTTTTTTTTTTTTTTGAGATAGGGTCTGGCTCTGTCGCCCAGGCTGGAGTGCAGTGGCACGATCTGGGCTCACTGCACCTTCCACCTCCCAGGCTCCGGGCTCAAGCAATCCTCCCACCTCAGCCTCCCACGTAGCTGGGACTACAGGTATGTGCCACTGCACCCAGCTATTTTTTGTAAAGATGGGGTTTCACCATGTTGCCCAGGCTGGTCTCCAACTCCTGAGCTCAAGCGATCCTCCCATCTCGGCCTCCTAAAGTGCTAGGATTATAGGCATGAGCCACTGTGCCTAGCCCAAGATAAATTATTTAAGGCGATAGATATCCCAATTTGATAATGTGTCAAATTATCATATGTACCCCCAAAACATGTGCATCTATTATGTATCAATAAAAGATTTTTTAGGCCAAGAGTGGTGGCTCACGCCTGTAATCCCAGCACTTTGGGAGGCTGAGGCAGGCGGATCACTTGAGGTTAGAAGTTCGAGATCAGCCTGGCCAACATGGTGAAACCCTATCTCTACGAAAAATACAAAAATTAGCCAGGTGTGATAGTGCCCGCCTGTAATCTGAGCTGTTCAGGAGGCTGAGGCAGGAGAATCGCTTGAATCGGGGAGGTGGAGGTTGCAGTGAGCTGAGATCGTGCCACTACACTCCAGCCTGGGTGGCAAAGCGAGACTCTGTCTCAAAAAAAAATTTTTTTTTAAAGAAATAACTTAATTTGAGGGCTCAGTATCTTATGGTAATAATACCAAACTCCTACATTTTGTGCTTGAGAAAAGAAATAAACATTAAGAAATTACTATTCAGAAAAAGGTTATATTTGGTATACAGCAAAACAGAACCAGAAATACTAATACTATCCACTGACTCACTACTCATCAATCCAATTGTCCGACATACCCTTATTAGCATCTACCAAGTTCCAGGTACTCTTGAGGTAGAAAAATAAAGAACATTTGTTCTTCTCTTTAAAGAACTTGAAACATGGTCATGAAGAGTGGTGAATTGAAATTACATAAATAGGTTCTGTAATAGTTTCTTTTAAAAAAAAATCAATAATGCTGATGATGGCTAACATTATCAAAGTTACCAAATCTAAAAACCAGTGCTCAGCGGGACATGGTGGCCTATAATCACAGCACTTTGGAAGGCTGAGGTAGGCAGATCATCTGAGGTCAGGAGTTCAAGACCAGCCTGGGCAACATGATGAAACCCCATCTCTTCAAAAAATACAAAAGTTAGCTGGGCGTAGTGGCACGTGCCTGTAGTCCCGCTACTTGGGAGGCTAAGGCGGGAGGATTGCTTGAACCTGGGAGGCGGAGGTTGCTGTGAGTTGAGATCACGCCATTGCACTCCAGCCTGGGCATCAAGAGCGGAAACTCTATCTCAAACAAACAAACAAATAAATAAATAAAAATCAGTGCTCAATCCTTACCTTGCTCCACAAGAAATTGACAGAGTTGATCCTTCCTTTATTCGTTACTTGCTCTGTCTATAACTCCTCCTCCTGGTTTTCCTCCTATGATCAGTCCTCTAGCCTCTGCTATACTGTCACCACATTCACCCCCTGGGTGTTCTCATTCAGCCATCTGGCTTTAAGCATCACCTCTACACTGATGGCTCCCAATTTTCTGACTACACCCAAGCTTCTCTCTACAACTCCAAAACAGTTTATCCTATTGCCTTCTTGATTAACAAGCATCTTACAGTTATCATTACCAATCTGTATTCCAGACACACATAGCTTAAACCTGCACCTTCCTCAGGGTTTCCCAGTCCAGTAGAGTTTACCTTGGAGTAACCCCTAAAGCCAACCCTGGAGTAATCCCTAATCCCTTTTCTTCTTTCCCCCCAATTTCTAATCCATCATCAAATCTGTGGACTCTTACTTTCAAAACATGTCTTGAATCTAATAACTTCTCCTCTCTTCCCTTCTAGGATATCACCTGACCTGAACTCTGAAGTAGTCTCTGCTAACTGGCTTTCTGCTTCCATTTTTGTCCTATTATTTTTCACACAGCAGCCAGATGAATCTTTAAAAACTGAAGTCAGATCATGGCTCTTCTCTATTCAAAACCTTCCAACTGCTTCTTTTCATCCTCTGCCCTCAGGTGTGATCACGACTCATTCCCTCATTTCCCATGTCCCCTCAGCTCTCTGCACAAATATCACTTCATCAGAGAGATCTTCCCTAATATCATCTCAAATACCAGTGCCTTCCGCCTCCACCCTCTGGTTCCTGTTGTATTTTTCGTTGCCCCTTGATATTACACTATGTGTTTATCTGTTTATGTTCTCTTTCCCTCAGGAGAATGTAAACGCATCAAGAGGATCTTGTCTTTCACTAATTGTATTTTCAGGCGGGGCCCAGAGGCTCACGCCTGTAATCCCTGCACTTTGGAAAGCTGAGGGGTGGATCACTTGAGGTCAGGAGTTCGAGACCAGCCTGGCCAACATGGTGAAACCCCATCTTTACTAAAAATACAAAAATTAAGTCGGGCGTCGTGGCGCATGCCTGTAATCCCACCTACTCGGGAGGCCGAGGCAAGAGAATCAGCTTGAACCCGTGAGGTGGAGGTTGCAGTGAGCCGAGATGGTGCCACTGCACTCCAGCCTGAGCAGCAGAGCGACACTCCATCTCAAACAAACAAACAAACAAACAAACAAAAAACAAACATATTTTCAATGCCAAAAAAGGTCTGGAATGAGGTGGGCACTCAGATGCTTTATTAACCACTCTAGGTATTATTCTAACACTTTATGTGCCTATTAAATTATCCCGACATATTAGATTTGCTGAATTGCAGTCCATATTTCGTAGATATGATAGCTGAAGCACGGAATCATTAGGTAACTTGCCCAAAGTGGCATTCACGACTCATAAATGGCTTAGGATGTAAACTCAGTTTTATTCCCTGGGACGCCCTCTCTGCTCTTCAGCACTTGAAGTTCAGGCAGCGAGAGTTGACATGGGGCCAGGGCTGCGCCCCTGGGGCGGGTTGAAGACAGGGTGAGTCTCTTGATATTCAGGAAATCATCGCGCACCCAGTCACCAGCGTTCGGGAGCCTGTCGCAGCGGGACCGACGGAATCCGGAGCAGGCGACAGGGCGCAGAAGCGGGATGTACTTCTGTTGGGGCGCCGACTCCAGGGAGCTGCAGCGCCGGAGGACGGCGGGCAGCCCCGGGGCTGAGCTACTGCAGGCGGCCAGCGGGGAGCGCCACTCTCTGCTGCTGCTGACCAACCACAGGGTCCTCTCGTGCGGAGACAACAGCAGGGGTCAGCTGGGCCGCAGGGGCGCGCAGCGCGGGGAGCTGCCAGGTGAGCGGGGGGCCCCAGGTGCAGGGTGTGAGGACCCCAGTACATGGGCGCGGGGGCTTGGGTACCGGGCGCAGGGAACCGGGTGCGGAGCGCTGGGACCCGGGTGAGGGGCGCGGGGGCCCAGGTGCAGGGAGCGGCTCAGATGCTGGGCGCCGCGGGCCAGGCAGGGAGGGGTGCTGGGAGCCTTGGATTCCTCGGGGCCCGAAGAGCCACAGGAACCAGGAAAATGGTGCCCTGTGCTACCGAAGAGCAACTTCCTCAGTTTCGTTTTCCCAACGCCCCTCGGATTTGTTTCGGTTTCCAATTCAAGTTCAAAGCGAAACTGAGAGCCGAAACTAACCTGGTCAGCGCTGCTCTGGAAAGAGATGTGGTCCCTCCGGCTTGCCTTGCAGATAAATCCTCGCCTGCGCGGTTCTACCTGGAGAAGGCAGCCTGACCTTACAAACGTGGTTTGTGGGTCAGACACCTGTATCTCCCTTAGAAATACACTGGGGCATTAAAAAATATATATATATAAAAATATATATATAAAATATATAAATATATATAATATATAAATATATACAAATATATAATATATAAATATATAATATATAAATATATATAATATATAAATATATAAATATATAACATATAAATATATATAATATATAAATATATATATAACATATAAATATATATAATATATAAATATATATATAACATATAAATATATATAATATATAAATATATATATAGCATATAAATATATATAATATATAAATATATATATAATATATAAATATATATAATATATAAATATATATAATATATAAATATATATATAATATATAAATATATATAATATATAAATATATATAATATATAAATATATATATAATATATAAATATATATAATATATAAATATATATAATATATAAATATATATATAATATATAAATATATATAATATATAAATATATATAATATATAAATATATATATAATATATAAATATATATAATATATAAATATATATAATATATAAATATATATAATATATAAATATATATATAATATATAAATATATATATAATATAAATATATATATAATATATAAATATATAATATATAAATATATATAATATATAAATATATAATATATAAATATATATAATATATAAATATATAATATATAAATATATATATAATATATAAATATATATATAATATATAAATATATATATAATATAAATATATATATAATATATAAATATATATATATAATATATAAATATATATATATAATATATAAATATATATATATACACATAATAGGCCGGACGCGGTGGCTTACGCCTGTGATCCCAGCACTTTGGGAGGCCGAGGCGGGCGGAGCACGAGGTCAGGAAATCGAGACCACCCTGGCCAATATGATGAAACCCCATCTCTACTAAAATACAAAAAATAAACTGGGCGTGGTGGCGGGCGCCTGTAGTCCCAGCTACTTGGGAGGCTGAGGCAGGGGAATCGCTTGAACCCGGGAGGCAGAGGTTGCAGTGAGCCGAAATCGCGACACTGCACTCCAGCCTGGCAACAGAGCAAGACTCTGTCTCAAAAAACATAATAATAATAAATATATATATTATATATGTGAGATAATACAATAATCGTTATGGATTATTGTAGAAATACGAGAAAGCAATCACCGTAGCTCCAACACCCAAAGATAACTCCTAACATTTTGATGCATTTTCTCCTTGTCTACTTTTTTCTATGTACATATTTAATCTTTATAAAAATCATGTCATTATAGATTTGTATATGCAGTATTTATGCAACTCTGTACATTGTGTTTTCATCAAGCATAATCTTATGAACATATTACCCTTTCATTTTGTATGTTTTGAAAATATGTTTTAAATTGCTGCATAACATTCTAAACTCTGAGAGTACCATAATTATTCTCTTTTTGTGGAAATTAGATTGTTTCCCACTAGGGGCTTTTATAAATAATACTGATTGATATTCTCGTAAGCAAATATTTGACTACATTTTTGATGACCTGCTGAGAATAGTTTCAAAAGGTGTGTGGAGGAGGAAAATTTTTCCTCTACCCTCTTAGGTTCAGCGGCTGGGTCCTGCAAACTTAACTGACAAAAGACAGATTGACAGGAGAAAAAGCATACAATTTTATTAATCTTTTACATATAGGGGAATTTACATGCGTGGGAATTTACAGAATAGAAGTGAAACTCAAGTGCTTCGACTTAGGAGCTTGTGTACCATGTTTAACAAAGAAAAGGGGGTTTGGACTTTAAAGGATGATGAACTCAGGGAAAGTGACTAGAAAATATATGGGAAAATCTAATGGAAGATAAGGGTTATTTTAATTGACTTGTTTATGCAGGCTCACCTCAGTGCCAAGTCTTCATCTTAGGTGACCCTTCTCTTCTTTTTTTTTTTTTTTTTTTTTTGAGATGGGGTTTTGCCCTGTCACCAGGCTGTAGTGCAATGGCACTATCTCGGCTCACTGCAACCTCCGCCTCCCCAGTTCAAACGGTTCTTCTGCCTCAGCCTCCCAAGTAGCAGGGATTACAGGCACTCACCACCATGCCCAGCTAATTTTTATATTTTTAGTAGAGACGGGGTTTCACTATGTTGGTCAGGCTGGTCTCAAACTCCTGACCTCGTGATCCACCCGCCTCGGCCTCCCAAAGTGCTGGGATTACAGTTATGAGCCACTGCGCCCGGCTGACCCTTTTCTTGGTGCCAGAGATGGGAGCTTCTCACAAAAGGATATTTATGACCTACTTTTAGGTAGATAAGAAGAGAGCAGAGACCTCTTCCTGCATCTGTTGATTCTCAATTGCCTTCAGCTCAAATTCTTAAAGTAGCATGTTTTCAGGTCTTATCACCCTCATTTGGAAATGAAGGGCAACATGATACTTAACCCCAAATTGTTCTCTAGAAAAATGGTACCAATTTCTATCTTTGTGAGTGCATGAATCTTTGGGAAATTTTAACCTTGCATAAATTGACAGTAAATAGTTGAAAAAGATAAGATTACAAAGATAAAAGGAAAAACAAAATCTTAAATGTTGCAAAAACTTTACTGGTATGATGTTCTCAACTCCAAACCTCTAATAATTCAGAGACAGACACCTTGGGAAAGCAGTTTAGGTTGGCTTGTAGGGAAATGTGATCCGGTTTTCATTTGTGGGCATATTTAGGGCCTCCATAGGGGCATATTTTTCACTTTTCATTGTAAGAGGATCCAGCATCTGCCTCTCACACTCATGAGGTAGGCTCCCTTCCAATTTCCTTCTGAGCAAGGGATTCACTGCTTTCAGTGTTTAGGGTGGGAAGACAGAATAGCAAAATGGAGGAGATCCCAACTTTTTTCTGGGTCTCTTTATTTTGCTAGGTTTTGCTAGAGAAACATTTGGTCATGTGTCATAGTCCCTAGAAGTTACCCCCTCCGTGATGCCTACTCCTTTAAATAACAGCCATTAAAAGATAGACTTGGGTAATTGAATGTTTTTAAGAGTCAATTTGAACATTCAGCAGTTCATGAATTGAGCAGCACCAGACCTCAAGCAGTTGGGCTCCACTAAGGGAGGTGCAAGGAGATGCCAGGGGGAACCTTTGATAACGTGTTCCAGGAAGCAAGACAAAGAAAATACTTGATTGGTTAAAGTGGAAAGTCCCTTGTTTGAAGTAGTCAGCAGTTTCTGGTTGGTAAAGTCTCTAGTTAGATGTTAGTTGGTGGTTTCTGATTGGTTAACCTTAAGTTTCATTTTCCTAGGCTATGATCAATCACTCTGAGTTGGGTTTTGGTTTGCTTAGGTAGGAACCCAAGGTGCTGGAGCCATCTCAACCTGATAGTCTCCCTGTTGATTATTTTAACAGAGCTGTATCCTATAAAGACAGGGTAACATACATTGAATTTACTTCCTTCAGACATTTAGAATGGACTTAAGGTCTTGATTCAAAAGACCATTGGAGGAGACAAGAAATCTGGATGATCCTTCTTTTTGAAGAAAAGTGCTGTCTTAAACTTGTGTTAAATTAATAATCTGCAGTGGTGGTTGGGGGGTGTTTTGTTTTGTTTCCCAAAGAACCAATTCAGGCATTGGAAACCCTAATTGTTGATCTCGTGAGCTGCGGGAAGGAGCACTCCCTGGCTGTGTGCCACAAAGGAAGGGTCTTCGCATGGGGAGCTGGTTCTGAAGGGCAGCTGGGGATTGGAGAATTCAAGGAAATAAGTTTCACACCTAAGTAAGTGTTTCAACCCACTCCTTCATTTATTCAATATATATAGTACCATGTGCCAGGCACTGTGCAAGATGCCAGGATACAAAGACGACTATGACAGGCCAGCTGCAGTGGTTCATGTCTGTAATCCCAACACTTTGGAAGGCTAAGGTGGGCAGATCACTTGAGGTCAGGAATTTGAGACCAGCCTGGTCAACATGGCGAAAGCCCCTCTCTACAAAAAAGACACAAGAAAATTAGCCGGGCATGGTGTCAGGCACCCGCAATCCCAACTACTCAGGAGGCTGAAGCGGGAGAATCGCTTGAACCTGGGAGGCAGAGGTTGCAGTGGTGCTGGGACAGCGCCACTGCACTCCAGCCTGGGCAACAGAGGGAGACTCAGTCTCAAAAAAAAAAAAAAAAAAAAAAAAAAAAAAGACTATGACAAACACAGTTCCTAACCTGAAGGACTACAGTGTAGTGAGGGAAGAAGGGAGGAAAAAACCTACAACACCAATTATTATTTAATTAGAGCAGAGTGAAATGAGATGTGACCCTTTGATCTTAATCTTATCTCTTGGAATATAACTGTGGGGGCCAACTTAGACCTCCAGAGTGGGTATAAAGACCACTGTAAAGTAGAAACATTTGAGCTGCAAAAGATACAGATATAAATCTTACCTGAACTTCCTTTATCATACTAAAACAGAGCCTCCTGAAAATGCAGTTCCCAGTAACTTCCTTGAGTGAGAGTTTCCTGGGAATTCAGTTGTCATTAAGATAGACCACCCATTACTATTACCATCAAAAAGCCCAATAGAACCTTCTATACTTTCCCACTGAAGTCCCAAAACCCCGCCTTTTATTAAGGTGACATATATAAAACTTTACTTTGGGATATTCTGCAATAGCGAGCATGCTTGTAAATAACCTTTGTCTTTTCTCTTGTTAATCTATTGTCAGTTAATTTGCAAGCCCCCAAATATTGGACCAAAGGTGGAAGAGAAGTTTTTTTCTCAACACAACCTTTTGGCTTGTCATAAACCACTGGGCCCTAACATTTTACTTAGTAAAGTGGAGGGAAATATCACATTTCCTCACAAACAACTTCCCAGGACAGATATGACAAGTAGTTGGCTCTGGATTATGTGTTTATGAATTACATACTTAGGGGATTTTCAAACGCATGCTTTTTAATATTAGGAAATCACCTCTTGTTACCTCTTCTGGTCATTAAATTCTAGAAGAGATCAATTTGACTTGGGGAAATGAGCATTGAACTTGGAATGAAAAGACCAGAATTTGAGTCTGGTTCTACAGCATCATAACTATTTGACCTCTTTGAGTTCCATTAGATTCACCTTATGAAATTGCTCATAGTGGCCAGGTGCAGTGGCTCACACCTGTAATCCCAGCACTTTGGCAGGCCAAGGTGGGCGGATCACCTGAGATCAGGATTTCGAGACCAGCCTGGCCAACATGGTGAAACCTCGTCTATACTAAAAATACAAAAAAAAATAGCCGGACGTTGTGGTGCATGCCTGTAATCCCAGCTACTTGGGAGGCTGAGGCAGTAGAATTACTTGAACCCGGGAGGAGGAGGTTATAGTGAGCCAAGATCGCACCACTGCCCTCCAGCCTGGGTGACAGAGCAAGACTCCGTCTGTGAAAAAAAAAAAGGAAATTGCTGATAGTTATCTGGTTTTGATCCACAAAAATGGCAATTTTGTATGATTTAACCTAATGATTTCTTCATTAAATTAGGGCTTAAATTAGATGATGAAGTTGTTGGTGTTCTATAAATTCTAAGGCCCTATACTATATATGCAGAAAAAATTTATTTCTCTTTTAGGCTATTAAGTGTAGAATAAAATTAGTATATTAGATATTGCATTAAAGTCCAATAGCAATGGCTTTTGCATTTATATACTGTTTTGGATTCTGTCCTATAACTTGGTACATGTTAATGTCATGTTAAAAACAGTTTGAGGGCTTTGAAATAAAGGTACTATAGAAATACAAGAAAATAAAATAGTTTTCCTGGACCAGATGTATTATTTGAGATACTTTTAAATATCTGTAGTCCACCGGACAACTCGCTCTAAATAAGGATTAATCAATTTTGTATTATTTGTATTATAGGAAAATAATGACTCTGAATGATATAAAAATAATACAAGTTTCCTGTGGACACTACCACTCCCTGGCATTATCAAAAGGTAAGAAACACTTTTTGGATCTGAGTGTGAGTAGGAAGTAATTTTTTGAATAGGAATTATAGCTGCTGATTTTTAATGCACTGGGGTTCATTTAGAAGTTTTTCATTCCCCAGGTTTCATAAGATATATTGTTTTCCTATTTTTTTCTCAAATTTCTTGGTCCTAATTATACTCTAAACAGTGCCTAATTCATAGTGCCATAAGGGGCTGTCTCTGGTTATTTGACCTAACTGGCCAACTCTCTCAGAGCTTAGTAGTGGCTTTATTTCCAGCCCTTTGCTCTTTATGCTGAATGGCCTGTCCACACTGGCAGACTTATTTGTCTATTTCACTTAGATCAAAGAAAGAGAAGTCAAGGTGTCAAAATCATGACTCTATATTTTTTCTTTTTAAAAATTTTTACTTATTTATTTTTATTGACACATAACAATTGTACATCTACACTTTTTCTACCAACCTCCACCCTCCTTTGTCCACCCTCAATCCAAATTTCTCAATGGAGAGTCTGAAGGAGGAAAAATTTTTCCTCTACCCTCTTATGCGTAGTCTTTGGGAACCTGCAAATTAAATTAACAGAAGACAGATTAAAAGAGAAAAGGCACCCAATTTATCTTTTTTCTTTTCTTTTTTTTTTTTTTTTTCTTTTTTGAGATGGAGTCTTGTTCTGTCACCCAGGCTGGAGTGTGGTGGCACGATCTCAGCTCACTGCAACCTCCACCTCCTGGGTTCAGGCGATTCTCCTGCCTCAGCCTCCCAAGTAGCTGGGATCACAGGTGTGCGCCACCATGCCCGGCTAATTTTTGTATTTTTAGTATAGACGAGGTTTCACTATGTTGGCCAGGCTGGTCTCGAACTCCTGACCTCAAGTGATCCACCTGCCTTGGTCTCCCAAAGTGCTAGGGTTACAGGCGTGAGCCACTGTGCCCGGTCCCCAATTTATATTAATATTTTTGTGCACAAGAGTTCACAGAAAATAAGTGAAACTAAAAGTAGTGGTTAGACTCAGGAACTTACATACTGTTTTAACAAAAAAAGGGAGTTTGGGCTTCAAGGGATAATAAATTGTGGGAAAGTGACTAGGAAATATATAGGGAAACCAATGGAAGATACGGGATATTTTAGTAAGATTCGTTTCTGCAGATTCATCTCAGTGCTGCTTCATTGTCTTCAGTGATAAAAGTTACTCTTCTCTCCCTGGTACAGTAGAGTGGAGATAACTCCACAAAGGGAAACTTATGCCTTGCTTTTAGGCAGGTAAGAGAGGGGCAGAAACCTCTTCCTGCATCTCTTAATTCTCAATTGCCTTCAACTCAAAACAATCCTTATGCCAAAGTAGCATATTTTGGTGTGGCATATCCTGACCCCCTTCAAAGGACTATAACATTTGTATGTTCCTCAGGTAATGTCTTATGTGTCATTGCAACTGTGCCATGGTCTATGGACAGCTAACATTTATTGGTCAGCTTCTATGTGCCAGCTGCCATGTTAAATGTTTTATGTGTGTTTTTTCACATAATTACCTTACAAACACATGAACTGGGCTGGGCATAGTGGCTCACACCTGTATTTCCAGCACTTAGGGAGGCTGAAGCAGGAGGATCACTTGAGGCCAGGAGTTTGAGACCAGCCTGGCCAACATAGTGAGATCCTGTCTCTACAAAAATTTGAAAAATTAGCTGGGCATGGTGGTATGCACCTGTAGTTCCAACTAATCAGGGGGCTGAAGTTGGAGGAGTGCTCGAGCTCAGGAGTTTGAAGCTGCAGTGAGCTATGATTGTGCCACTGCATTCCAGGCTGGGCGACAGAGTAAGACTGTTTCTGAAAAAGAAAAACAAACGAAAACAGGAGCAGGGTATGATTTATATCCTCATTTCAGAAATGGAAAAAATTGAGTTCAGGGATTTTAAATTATTTACCCAAAGTTACACACTAAGAAACAGAATAGTCAGGATTTGAACCTATAGTGTTTAGGTCTCAACCCTAAGTGCTTAACTACTACGCTGCACTGACTACAAATCCAGGGCATATCCCGTGGCCATTGTGTGATTCCTTCTACCTGTCATTTCTAGCTGTTTGATCATGGGCAAGTTATTTAACTTGGCTGAGTCTCAATTTTCTCATCTGTGGGAATATTGATACCTAACTTGAAGGTTATTTAGAAGATTGAGTGAGAGAAGATACCCTGTATACCTTGTACAGTCCTTAGCATATAGCAGAGGCACCATAAATAGGAACGTCTTTTCCTTTCTCACACTCCTTCTTAATTATGGACATGGTGTGAATTCTTTCCTTGGGGCACTGACTTGCCTTTGCATTGGTCTGGACTGTAAAGTCTGGGCAGAGCCCAGGCATTCAATGCATTTGCTATGGTGAAAGGTGAGTTCTCATAGACCTTCGTGAGAGTTTAACGTTTTGCATTTTGCCCTCAAAATTATTTTTAGTGTTAGAAATTAACTTTAGAAGAGTTAAAAAATAAAAGATGTAATAACTTATTAAAAAATCTCTGAGATATGTTAGCATTTCACTGGGTATATACTTAGGCATTAGATAAGCTTAGATTAGATTTTTTTTTTCTGGCTGGGTGCGGTGGCTCACGCCTGTAATCCCAGCACTCTGGAAGGGGATCACTTGAGGCCAGGAGTTCGAGACCAGCCTAGCCAACATGGTGAAACCCTGTCTCTACTAAAAATATAGGCTGGGCACGGTGGCTCATGCCTGTAATCCCAGGACTTTAGGAAGCCGAGGTGGGTGGATCACCTGAGGTCAGCAGTTCAAGACCAGCCTGGCCAACATGAGGAAACCCCGTCTCTACTAAAAATACAAAAATTAACCGGGCATGGTGGCAGGTACCTGCAATCCTAGCTACTTGGGAGACTGAGGCAGGAGAATCACTTGATCCTGGGAGGCAGAGGTTGCAGTGAGCTGGGATTGTGCCATTGCACTCAAGCCTGGGTGACAGAGCAAGACTCGTCTCAAAAAAAAAAAAAAAAAAAAGACAGATTAATAGGAGAAAAGACATATTAATTTATTAATATGCATAGGGGAGAACCATAGAGCAATTACCCCAATGCTCCAATGGGGTAGAGAAGCTTATATACCATCTTGAGGCAGAGGTGGTCCTGTTGTGTAGATGAAGGCTTACAGGTAGCAGCCCTCAAAGAGAATAGATGGTGAATGTTTCTTCCAGACCTTTAGAGGTGTGGGACTCTCAGTTAATCTTTCCTAGATCAGACACGGGAGGGC
Source organism: Homo sapiens (assembly GCF_000001405.40). Classification (NCBI taxonomy): domain Eukaryota; kingdom Metazoa; phylum Chordata; class Mammalia; order Primates; family Hominidae; genus Homo; species Homo sapiens. The sequence continues at coordinate 88,388,819 of NC_000004.12, forward strand.
CTCAGAGAAAGCCTGCCTGCATCAATGCAGATTTTCTGTACAGGTGCAAATCTCCCACACAAAAGACAGCTTTTTAGCTATGCTTGCACTTCCAGCCCTACTGAATAGCCATCTTGAAATATGTTAAAGAAGTGGGATGAGATATATTGGTTTGGTACCCCTTCAAGAGTAAGGGGACAGAGAGTGAGTACCTGGGTGGAGGAAAGGAGTCTTTCTAGTTTATGAGGCGGTCAGGGAAGATATCTCTCAAAAGGTGACATATGAGCAGAAACCAAATGAAAAGGGAGGGAGAGATAGGATGCTAACCATGAAAGAATTACCCAGACACAAAGGCCATGGGGTTGGGGCATGCTCAGAAGTGTACTCCAGGAATAGCAAAGGGTCTTGAGAGGAGTGAGCAGGGGGAGATGAAGTCCGGGAAGTGGGGGTGGGCCAGACTGGTGATGTGGGGTCTGTGATGGGAGTTGGTCCGTCATTGAGTGAGACAGCAAGCTCCTGAAGTATTCAGTTGGACTTAGATTTTTAAAAGGATCACTCTGGCTATTCTTTGGAGAACAAACTGATGGGGGCAAAGGTTGCCTCAGGGAGATCAGTGAGGTGCTATTGTCATTTTTTAGGAGAGAAAAGTTGGTGACTTGGCTAAGGTGGTAGCAGTGGAGAGGTGAGAAATGGTTGGATTCTGGATAGATTTTGAGGGTAGAAGTTTTGAATTTTCTGGGTCAAAGGGTGTAAAAGAGAAGAGTTAAGGATATCTGTAAGATTTTTGGCCTGAGCAGCTGAAAGAACACAGCTGCCCTTAACTGGAGGGAGAAGAGTGGACATTGTTTGAAGGGACTTTTGAAGGTGACCTGGACCGCCCCGCTTGCCTTTAGTTGGGATACTTTAATCTCATTTTTTTCTTCATCTCTGTTTTACCTTTTAAAGATTTGTAAAATTAAATAGAAGTAGAATAGAAATAGAAGGAAATCCTACCATTTGCAACTTGGAAGACATCATGCTAAGTGAAATAAGCCAGACACAGAAAGACAAATACCTCATGGTCTCACTTAGCTGTAGTATCTGAGAAAGTCAAACTCAGCCAGGCACGGTAGCTCATGCCTGTAATCCCAACACTTTGGGAGGCTGAGGCAGGTGGATCACCTGAGGTCAGGAGTTCGACATCAACCTGGCCAACATGGTGAAACCCCATCTCTACTAAAAAAGCACAAAAATTAGCCGGGCGTGGTGGCACGCATTTGTAATCCCAGCTACTCAGGAGCCTGAGGCAGGAGAATCGCTTGAAACCAGGAGGTGGAGTTTGCAGTGAGCCAAGATCGCACCCTGCACTCCAGTCTGGATGACAGAATGAAACTCTGTATCAAAAAAAAAAAAAAAAAAAAAAAAGAAAGTCAAACTCAATAAAAACAGAGAGTAGAAAGGTAGTTGCCAGGGGCTGGGGGTTGGGGGGAAATCAGAAGATGTGGGTCAAAGGGTATAAACTTTCAGTTATAAGGTGAGTAATTTCTAATGTACAGCCATGTGACTATATAGTTAATAATAGTACATTGTATACTTGAAGTTTGCTAAGAGGGTAGATCTTAAGTATTCTCACCACACACACACACAAAGGTAACTATGTGAGGTGATGGATATGTTAATTAGCTGATTGCGACAATCATTTAACAATGTATATGTATTTCAGCTCATCATATTGTATACCTTAAATAGATGAAATTTTTATTTGTCAATTATCCCTCATTAAAGCCACAAAAAAGATTTGTAGAATTAGTAGTTTCTATTTGAATTTGGTATTCTAATATGTGTACAATTCTTAATTTCTCGTCTTTGTTGTAGATAGCCAAGTGTTTTCGTGGGGAAAGAACAGCCATGGGCAGCTGGGCTTGGGGAAGGAGTTCCCCTCCCAAGCCAGCCCGCAGAGGGTGAGGTCCCTGGAGGGGATCCCACTGGCTCAGGTGGCTGCCGGAGGGGCTCACAGCTTTGCCCTGTCTCTCTGTGGGACTTCGTTTGGCTGGGGAAGTAACAGTGCCGGGCAGCTGGCCCTCAGTGGGCGTAATGTCCCAGGTAAGGAGATAGTCTTGTTTGTGCAGTAAATCATTCTTTCTTTCCAGGTGGAAGACCAACTTGGCAAAGGGCAGTCTTAACGCTTAAAACAGTGGTTCCCAAACTTGTGACACATTCGAATAGCCTAGGGAGCTATATTAGTTTCTTGTTGTAGCGGTAACAAATCATCTCAAACCTAGCAGCTTAAAACAACACAAATGTACTATCATGTAGTTCTGGAGGTCAGGATTCTGACACACGTCTCACTGTGCTAAAGTCAAGGTGTTAGCAGGTTACCTTCTTCCCTACAGGCTCTGAGGGAGAATCCATTTTCGTGCCTTCCCCAGCTTCTAAAGGCCACCTGCATTAATTGACTCATAGACCTCTTTCTTCTTCAAAGCTAGCAGTGGCTGATCAAGTCTTTCTCAAGTCACATTACTTTCACATAGACTCTTCTGCCTCCCTCTTCCTCAGTTAAAAGACCCTTGATTACAGTGTGCTCACCTGGATAATCCAGGCGCATCTCCCTTGTTTTAAGGTCAACTGATTAACAACTTTAGTTCCATCGGTTTCCGTAACTTCACTCTGCCATGTAACTTAACATATTTACAGGCTCCAGGATTAGGAAGTGGGAGACCATTATTCTTTGGGAGGCCATTATTCAGCCTACCATAGGATCCTTTAAAAATCCCGATGCCCAGGTCAGACCCCATACCTATTAAATCAGAATGTCTGGGGGTGAAACCCAGAAGCATCCATCGTCATTAGAGACCTCACAGTTGATGCCAATTTGCAGCAAAGTTTAGAAACTGCTGGACTAGGAGACTGCTAACATTAGGTCAAACAACCAGTTCCTCTAGGCAAAAGAAAACTTCTCTAAACAACCAGTTCCTCTGAACACAAAACTCGTCAAGATGTACTCCCCACAAACTCCATCCTCCTCTATTCAATTCCTTACAGTCAGCTAACATACAGTTAACACCTAACCTGTGCCAGTCCCATGCTGAGCACTTATACCTTGTTTCATTTCACCATTTCAGCATTAGCTAAGTTTTTCTTTCCTTTCCTTTCCTTTTCCTTTCCCTTTTCCTCCCCTCCCCACTCCTTTCCCCTCCCTTTCCCTTCCCTCCCCTCCCCTTCTCCCTCCCCTCCCCTTCTCTCCCTCCCCTCCCCTTCTCTCCCTCCCTCCCCTCCCCCTTCCTCCCCTCCCCTTCTCCCCTCCACTCCCCCCTCCCCTTCTCCCCTTCCGTTCCCCCTCTCCCCTCCCTTCCCCTCTCCTCCCCTGTCTTCCCTTCTGTCCTCTTCCCTTCTCTTCTTTCTTTTTTCTTTTCTTTTCTTCAGACAAGGTCTCACTCTGTTGCCCAGGCTGGAGTGCAGTGGTGTGATCTCAGCTCACTGGAATCTCAGCTCCCGAGTAGCTGGGCTCACAGGCACACACCACCACACCCAGCTAATTTTTGTATTTTTTGTAGTATCAGGCATGAGGGTCTTGAAGCTTAGCTTTCTAGGTCAATAGCCTTGGGGTTTCACCATGTTGCCCAGGCTGGTTTTGAACTCCTGCGCTCAAGTGATCCACCCGCCTCAACCTCCCAAAGCACTGGGATTACAGGTGTGAGACACCATGCCTGACCAGTTTTTCTTATCATCTCAATTTTTATAATACATTTGCAGAGCATCTATTGTGTGACAGAAATATGTGAAAATTGTCAGAATCAATATGGAGTCACTTATTTCAAACCCTAATAAAATGGAGTTGGGTGGCCTGGGGGCATGAAGGGAGGATCCTCACACAGAGCTGCCTGATAATAACTACCCCAGAGGACTCTACCAAAACCACAACCTTGCAGTTAAGGCCACCTCTATGAGGACGTCTTTCCAGTAGCAGTGTTTCCTAACTGCAGCCTTGCAAGTAACCTTACTAAATGGCAGCCTTGCAGTCAGGGTGGCTTATTTGAAGACGCTCTTCTAGCAATGGCCAGTACACATGTCACTGCCTGCAATAATTCCTTGTAACCAATGAACTTGTTTCGAAATAACCTATGTGTACTTCTCCTTTTTGCCTTTAGAAGTTCCCCCTTGCCTCAACCTCCCCAGATATGCCCATGGCCTGCTATGGCATGCATATCCTGGATTGTAATCCCATCATTCATTCCCAAATAAACTTGTTCTTTGAGAGCCTCTCTGTTGTTATTTTAGGTTGACAAATGAATACAACAGATGGCAGTAGTATCAGGCATGAGGGTCTTGAAGCTTAGCTTTCTAGGTCAATAGCCTCGGGCATTCCGGAAGATTAGATAGCTTCCAGAAATAAATGTTGAAGGAGCACTTCTTTTTTTCTCTCCCAAGGTAGGGTTTTTCCTCTGTCTTATACTTCGGATTGTTTACTTTTAAAATTATGTTAATGAATTATAAAAATAAGAAAAGATATAAAAGATACCCCTTACATAAAAAAAAAAGATATTAAAAATATAAATACTCATGAAATCTGAAAACTATGTTAGTGAATTATAAGAATAATAAAATATATCTCTTACACAAAAAAAGAAATATAAAAAGATATTAAAATGTAAATAGTCATGAAATCTGAGTCTGTTTCTTATACTCTAGAGATTCTGCTTTCTTTCAACAGTGCAAAGCAACAAGCCTCTCTCAGTCGGTGCACTGAAGAATCTAGGTGTGGTTTATATCAGCTGTGGTGATGCACACACTGCGGTGCTTACCCAGGTAATCCAAAACGTGTTGCTATTTTTTTGAGTTCCAGAGAAATGGTAACAAGATACATATGTACTAATTATTGTTGAAAGACAGAGACATTAGCCCATTTGGGCCACTATAACAAAATACCATAAAAAGAGTGGCTTATGAACAATAGAGATCTATTTCCCATAGTTCTGGAGGCTGGGAAGTCCAAAATCAAGGTGCCAGCAGATTTGATGTCTGATGAGGGCCAAACTTCTCATTCACAGATACCATATTTTCACTGTGTCCTCACATAGTGAAGGGAGTGAGGGGTCCTTCCTGGGCCTCTTTTGTGAGGGCACTAATCCCATTGATGAGGGTTCTGCCTTCATGACCTAATCATTTATCAAAGGCCCCATCTCCTAATATCATGGCATTGAGGTTTAGGACTTCAACATATGAATTCTGGGGGGATGCAAACATTCAGACTGTAGCATAAGATATATATACCAATATCTAGACAGAGCCATTCAGTGTACACATATCTAAAGAGGAGATGTGAACCAAACATAAATCATAAGGTTTTCAAGATACATAACAAAAGCTAATTTCAGCTTTAGGAAGTATCTTTAGATACCTACTAAATTAGGTTAATAGCTGGGTGTGGTGGCTCATGCCTATAATCCCAGCACTTTGGGAGGCCAAGGCGGGCAGATCACGAGGTCAGGAGTTCAAGACCAGCCTGGCCAACATAGTGAAATCCCATCTCTACTAAAAATACAAAAATTAGCTGGGCATGGTTACGGGCACCTGTAGTCCCAGCTACTTGGGAGGCTGAGGCAGGAGAATCAATTGAACCCAGGAGTCAGAGGTTGCAGTGAGCCAAGATCGTGCCACTGCACTCCAGCCTGGTTGACACAGCAAGACTCTCCTGTCCAAAAAAAAAAAAAAAAAAAAATTAGGTTAATACAGGAACTAATCCCTTTTAGCAATTATTATTATTATTATTATTATTATTATTTTTTGAGACAGAATCTCGCTCAGTCGCCCAGGCTGGAGTGCAGTGGTGCAATCTCGGCTCACTGCAACCTTCGCCTCCCAGGTTCAAGCAATTCTCCTGCCTCAGCCTCCCAAGTGGCTGGGATTACAGGCGTGTGCCACCACGCCTGGCTAATTTTTGTATTTTTAGTAGAGACAGGGTTTCACCATGTTGGCCAGGCTGGTATCAAACTCCTGACCTCAAATGATCCACCCACCTCAGCCTCCCAAAGTGTTGAGATTACAGGCATGAGCCACTGCGCCCGGCCCCTTTAGCAATTATTCATTGACAATGTGATTCTACAGATAAAAATTATTATAGAAGCAACAAAGTAATTTTTACAGTTTTCAATAATCCACTTTACAGCCTAGAACATTATTTCATTTCATTTCTTGCTTGGCATAGGTATGACACAGCTTCCTGAATGTTTTCTTCCCATTCTTGTCCTCACCATACAATATATTCCAAAGGGATGGATTCTTTCTGGAGCCATAAGGAATAGACTTGAAAACTACTTGTGTAGTTGAAATGTTTGTTTAAAAACTATATGCCCCCAATTATTTTTGTTTGTTTTAAATGCATATCTTAAATTAGAAAACCCTCAATTGTTTGGATTATATTATTCTCAATATAAAGAATAAATAGAAATAAATAGAATAAATAGAAATAAAGAGAAAGCTAGAGTTGTTTGTAATCATAGAATGTTTTGGGAAGACAGTATTTTTAGGAAAATGCTCAAATAAATTCAACCTCATACTTAAATGTTGGTTTTACTCTTGAACCAGTTAATTTATCTATTCATTCAATAAAGACTTATTAAGTACCTAATTCTTTCTTTTTCCAGCTTTATTATGGTATAATTGACAAAAATTGTATATGTTTATGCTATACAATATTATGTTTTAATACCTGTGTACATTGTGAAATGATTACCACAATCAAGCTAGTTAACATATGTATCACCTCACATACATATCTTTTTTTGTGATTAGAATCTTTAAGATCTACTCTCTTAGTAATTTTCATATATGAAACACATTATTAACTATAGTCACCATGCTGTACAATACATCACCAAGGTGCCCAGTTTTTAAGGAAATGCTAATGATTTTTTTTTTTTAAATTTGTGTAGAGATTGGGTCTTGCTATATTGGCCAGGCTGGTCTCAAACTCCTGGCCTCAAGTAATTCTCCTGCCACAGCCTTCCAAAGTGCTGGTATTACAGGTGTGAGCTACTGTGCCTGACCCCAGTGATTTTTCATGTTTAATGTGTTAACTCAACATACACTATTAGAAAAAATAAAGGATCTCTCCTATTTATGTAGAGCTTGTGTTTCACAGAGTGCTCCCGTATTAACTCTTGTATGACACTTAATCAGTAAGCTTTTAGTTACCTTGTTAAACCTGAAATTAATTTGATTCTTCCTTTGCTAAGCAGGACGGGAAAGTGTTCACATTTGGAGACAATCGCTCTGGACAGCTGGGATACAGCCCCACTCCTGAGAAGAGAGGTCCACAACTTGTGGAAAGAATTGATGGCCTAGTTTCGCAGATAGATTGTGGAAGGTAATAGGCTTCTTCTTCTTCTTTTTCTTAGCATGTGTAGAAAGTGTTATATTTTATTACTTAGAAATGACTCATATGGAATGTTATCAAACCTTAAAATTCCTGCCTGAAAATTTACTTATTTCAAATATAGTTTAATTTTTCAGTTTTTAATCTTTATTCTAGATATTTTATTTATTTAATAAGAAATAATTGGAAGTCTACTGTGTATAGAACACTGTACCAGGTGCTGGAGAATGGGAAGTAGATTGATAAAAATAGCAGAGCTTTCCTGCTTAAGTTGATAAGACAAAATTAAAGTAAATTAATCTCATGCATGCAGAAGATGATGTATATTTACATATATATTTTCGGAGTTCTGCGTAACCTAATTATGAGGACACTTTGAGTGTTTAAATATCTACCCAATGCATTAAAAAAGAAAAAAAATAGAAATGCCTGCATTTAGAACACAAATGATAGAAACCATAGTAAAGACCTATCAATAACATTCTGTTTTTAAGATTAGTAGTAAGTTAATATTGACTGACCGTCTGTTTAGCCACATCCTTTGATGCCCTCTAACACTGACATTGTGATAAGGGAGCTGCGTACTTAGTAAAAGTAAATTGGGCTTTTTGTGTTTGTTATTTTGTCTTAAGGGACATCATCTTTCTCAAAAGCCATGAGTGCCTTAGTCTTCATTATGGTGTATTCTCTTTCCTGTAGTTATCACACCCTGGCATATGTGCACACCACTGGTCAGGTGGTATCTTTTGGTCATGGACCAAGTGACACAAGCAAGCCAACTCATCCGGAGGCCCTGACAGAGAACTTTGACATTAGCTGCCTGATTTCTGCTGAAGGTGTGAATCCCACTAATTCATGATTTTGTGTTCATCAATGCCACTGGAAGAGAACTAGTATTCAGCTTCCTTTCAAAGGATCCTACAGAACTGTAGTTCCCCTAGTACTTTTATTTTTATTTTTATTTATTTATTTTTTTTTGAGATGGAGTTTCGCTCTTGTTGCCCAGGCTGGAGTGCAATGACGTGATCTTGGCTCACCATAACCTCCGCCTCCTGGGTTCAAGCGATTCTCCTGCCTCAGCCTCCTGAGTAGCTGGGATTACAGGCATGCGCCACCATGCCTGGCTAATTTTGTATTTTTAGTAGAGATGGGGTTTCTCCGTGTTGGTCAGACTGGTCTTGAACTCCTGACCTCAGGGGATCCACCAGCCTCGGCCTCCTAAAGTGCTGGGATTACAGGCATGAGCCACCGCGCCTGGCTGTACATATATATATGGTGCATTTTTTTCTTATGCAGTGACTCTTAGGGTATTTGGTAATCATTTCTAAAGATTAAGGTAAGTTCAAGACCAGCCTGGCCAACAGGGTGAAACCCGTCTCTAGTAAAAATATAAAAATTAGCCGGGCGTGGTGGTGCAAGCCTGTAATCCCAGCTACCTAGGAGGCTGAGGCAGGAGAACCCCTTGAACCAAGGAGGTGGAGGTTGCAGTGAGCCGAGATCGTCCAGCCTGGGCAACAGGGTGAGACTCCATCTCAAAAAAATAAAATAAAATAATAAAATAAAAAAGATTAAGGTAATACAGAAGACTATCCTAACTTGATTACTTAAACATCAGAACAATACACTTTTTTTCCATAAAGTGAAAGCAAGTTTATTAAGAAAGTAAAGAAGCAACCAGAACAATCCACTTTCATATATTTAATCAAATCTCTTCTAAAGCATGGCCACCTGGCTGCATTATGCAAGTGCATGAAAAACTAAATTTTAGACTAAGTGAATATATGACATGTAATCTGATCAAAACTGATCTTTTATTTCAATATGATGGGAGGGAAAAAAAGAAAAAAATTAATCTTTTATGCATTTGTAGTCAAAATCCATTTAGGAGAATATAAATTGCCAGTAAGTAAATAAATTTTTGGCTTGATAATACATCAGATTTATTTTTACTTCTAGAAACTCTAAGCATGGATTTATGACTTTCTTTTAGACTTCGTGGATGTTCAAGTCAAACACATTTTTGCTGGAACATATGCCAACTTTGTGACAACTCATCAGGTATCTATTATACTTTTTGTTCCTCTTAAAAATTATTTTTTCTCAAGATTTCAGACCGGTATTTGAAATACTGTATTATTCATACATATTCAGGTCTTTTACTAAAACAATAAGGTCCTATATTAGAATGCTTATGAAAAAAATATTACATAATTCTCACTTCCTTATTTGTCAACTTTCCTAACAGATTAGACCCCCCCACCACCACCATTTCAGATTTATTTTTTCTTTATGGGTAAGTGTGTTTGTTGAATTTGCATCATGTAAATGCACATACACATGTAACTTGTGTCAACAGCAGCTGTTTCCATCTTCAGGAGGGAACTGAATTTTCCCTGTCCAGGACTGTGAAGGAAGGGTTTCTGACATGTCCTGGAGGGAATTTCCCAGTGGCACCTCCTTCAGTAGGAGGATTGCCATGTGTGTGAGTGTGCAGGGGTGTGTGTAGCAGGGGTGGCATGTAGCGTCTCAGCTGTCCTGTGTTGCAAGGGTCACATCACCGAGTCCCCAACTCAAGTTTATTGCTTAATAAAATTAATGATGATAGATAACAGTCATGACTAATTTTAACTGCAGTCACCAAGTGTCAGGCAGCAATCGAAGTTCTTCAAATGGATCAAGATGTTTAATGCTCATATCAACTCTCGTTGATTTTATTTTTCACATTGACAGATGAAAAAACGGAGTCTCAGAGAGGTGAATTTATGCAAAGTTGCACTGTTAGTAAGTGGTAGAGCTGGATTCAAATCCAGGCAGTCCAACCCAGTAGCTTACACCATTATCCACCATGCTATAGTGCCTTCCTAATTGTTAACAGGAGGGATTTTATTATTACATTTCTGGGTGAGTTCTGAAATATGTTTATGGAAACAAAGGCCTTCATAGTTATTTTTCTAATTTGTACTTTTTCCTATTATGAGGAATGTTTTAAAATTGATGTTTAAACTTGATGTTTAAAACATTCCTGACGACAGGAAAAAGTACAAATTAGAAACATAATAGACTCTGTCTGTAGTCCCTGGCACAGAATGTGGTCAGAGGCAAAGGTTTCTGTGCTGTTGGGATAGTTAGGAGACTATACTTTGGTTGCTCTATCATAGCCATTCAATCAGCCACTCAACAAAAATTGAGACCCTTTTTATATATCAGGCTCTGCTCTTGGTGCCTGGGACAAAAGTGAATAGTACAGACAAAGTTACCCTCATTCATAGCATTTGGACTCCACAGGCAGGGCCGGACCATAAATATGTAAATGCAAAATAAATAAGATTGTATTAGAGGCCCGGCATGGTGGCTCACGCCTGTAATCCCAGCGCTTTGGGTGGCCGAGGCAGGCGGATCACTTGAGGTCAGGAGTTCGAGACCAGCCTGGCCAATGTGGTCAAACCCCATCTCTAGTAAAAACACAAAAACTAGCTGGGAGTGGTGGTACGAGCCTGTAATCCCAGCTACTTGGGAGGCTGAGGCAGGAGAATTGTTTGAACCCAGGAGTGGAGGTTGCAGTGGGCTGAGATCGTGCCATGCACTCCAGCCTGGCGCACAGGGCAACACTTTGTCTCCAAAAAAAAAAAAAAAAATTGTATTAGATAGTGACAAGTACTCTGAAGAAAACACATTGATTGTTTGAGATTGGTGAGGTGGCCTTCTTTAGAAATGTCTGTCAGAAAAGGCCTTGTAGAGGCTGTGACAGTTGAGCAGAGATTTTAGCCATGCTTAGGTCCAGAGAAAGAATGCTCAGAGCAGAGGGAACTGCACACAGAAAGCCTGTGAGGCAAGAATGAGTTTGGTGTGTGTGACAGAAGGCCAGTGAGGCAGAACCATAGGAAGAAAGGACAAAGAGCTCGACAAGATGGAGCCAGTTCTGTATGCTGGGGTCAGCTATGTGAGGGGGGACCCATCTGAAATGTGCTTGGAAAGGAGACCTAGAGACTGGCCAAACAAGCCAAGAGAAGAAAGCACCTGTATGGAGGTCCTCTCTTTTGTTTTTGTTTGTTTGTTTGTTTGCTTGTTTTTTTGTTGTTTTGAGACAGGGTCTCACTCTGTTACCCAGGCTGGAGTCTTGGCTCACTGCAGCCTCAAATTCCTAGGCTTAAGCCATCCTCTCGCCTCAGCCTCCCGAGTAGCCAGGGCTACAGGCGCACACCACAATGCCCAGCTGGTTTTTTTTTGTAGAGACGGCGTTTCGCCATGTTGCTCAGGCTGGTCTTGAACTCTTGAGCTCAAGTGATCTGCCCACCTTGGCCTGGCAAAGTGCTGGGATTACAGGTGTATACCACCGTGCCTGGCTCCCAGTAGTACCTCTTATCTACAGTTTTGCTTTTCACAGTTTCAGTTATCCACATTCAACTGTGGTCTAAAAATATTAAATGGGAAATTCAGAAATAAACAACTCATAAATTTTAAATGACATGTTCTGGGTGGCATGATGAAATCTCACACCATTCCACTTCATCCCTTCATCACAAGAAGTAGGGTGAATACAGTATAATAAACTATTCTGAGAGAAAGACAGGGGCACCACGTTTACATATGTTTTATTACAGTAAATTGTTATAATTGTTTCATTTTGTTATTAGTTATTGGTATTAATCTCTTACTGTGCTTAATTTATACATTAAACTTGATCATATGTATGGATGAACAGGAAAAAACAGTCAATATGGAGTTTGGTATTATTTATGGTTTCAGGCATCCACTGGGGGTCTTGGTGGAACACATCCCCCATGGATAAGGGGGGACTGCTGTATTTCCAGAAGGAGAAAGTGGCTAATTCTGTCAAATACAGCCGAGTGGTCAAGTAAGACCAGTGCATAGTTTATTTTTGCTTTGGTAAGATTGTGTTATTGCAGAGGAGAGAGAAGGAAACCTGACCCGAGTGGGCTGGACAGAGAATAAAAGGGGAACAAGTGCAAACAATGCCTGTGACAACTCTGAGAAATTTTGATGTGAAGAGAATAGAGAACTGCGAGAGGGTTTCTCATGCTGCATAAGAAAGAGTGAATAGGCCAGGCATGGTGGCTCACGCCTGTAATCCCAGCACTTTGGGAGGCCGAGGCGGGTGGATCACAAGGTCAGGAGTTCAAGACCAGCCTGGCCAATATGGTGAAACCCCATCTCTACTAAAAATACAAAAATTAGCCGGGTGTGGTGGAGGGCACCTGTAATCCCAGCTACTCGGGAGGCTGAGGCAGAGAATTGCTTGAACCTGGGAGGCGAAGGTTGCAGTGAGCTGAGATGCGCCACTGCACTCCAGCCTGGGCGACAGAACGAGACTCCATCTCAAAAAAAAAAAAAAAAAGAAAAGAAAAAAGAGAAACAGTGAATAATTGCAGAAGCAATGTCTGAGATTAGGAGAGAGGAAGCAGAATCTAACGCGTGATTGAGGGGTTTGAACAGATGTGTTTATTCTGCTGTAATAAGAAACGGTACAGGTGAAGGTAGGTTGATGGTGGGAAGGTGATTAGTTCTTGCTTAATTGCTTCAATTTTCAGTGATGCATAAGACAAGGTCCCCATCTGAGCATGACTAAGCAGAGGAGTATGAAAGGTTTAGGAAGAAAAGGAAGGGTTGTGATAGTTGTCTTGGGGAAAAAGCAGGTAGCCTTGGAATCCATTAGACAATATCACGTGCCCATTTGAAATCTGTGGTCATAGACTTAAAGTGAAATCAGTCTGCACAGTTGTGCAGCTTTCTCCCGTGATGTTAGGCTGCTTCAGTTGGATTTTGGAGTAATTCAGAGTCAAGTTTAATTACAGATGGAACTTTGCTAGGTAAGTACAATAGGAAATGGACAAAAGAGTTATAGGTGTGATTATAGTGATGAACCATGGAATCTAAGCTGGGTAAGGAGGATGAAAGAGGGTGATGAATCATGGACAAACAACAGGGCTAATTGATTGGAGATCCAGGCGGACAAAAGAATCTTGGACTGCAGGTTTTACTCTAAAGGAGGTGAATCTGTAAGATGGTGTATGATGGTCAGAGAAGAGAACATTTCCAATAGAAATTTAGAAGATGGAACAATTGATAATTATAACATCCAGCTTCTCACCTGTATCTAGGGCAGTGGTTTTCAACTAGGGGTGATTTCATGCTCCGGGAAATATTTGGCAATGTCTGGAGACATTGTAGTTTGTCATAACTAGGGGAGAGCATGGTGTTGGGAGTGGCTGCTACTGGCATCTGGTAGACAGAGGCCAGTGATACCACTAAACATCCTATGGTACACAGGACAGCTGCTCACAACAAACAGTTATCTGACCCAAAATATCAGTAGTGTCAGTTTAAAAACCCTGATCCAGGGCATGTGTGGCTGGGGTGGAGCAGAGGAAAATAGTGGAGATGATTAAGAATTGAGAGATGAAGGTGGGAGATAGATCAGGTTCATCAGTTCTGAAGTAACCAAGAGTGAGGGCAGGAAGGGTGACCATGGGAATCGTGGTATGAAGAAGACAGCAAGGTGCCGAAGCTTTCAATGAATGAAGGGGAGTGACCAGGACAGTGGGAGAAGATTACAAAACAAGAAGAGGCAGATGACATAGTCTCATGCTGTGCATTTGGGAGGAGCTAGGGATTTTGAAGCAGAAAATGAAGAAATGGTATGTAACTGCCAAGAGGGAGCACCTCATTGTCCCAAGTTTCCTGGGATGTGGGGGGAAAAACTCTTCCTCTTGATCAAACTACAGGGAAAACCCAGGACTCAGATCAAGAAGCTGAAGGGAACTTTAAGAGCCGTGGTTACCTGTCTTCTTCAAGAGGTCTTTTATTTCAGCATTAAACCAAAATGATGCAGGATTTCCTGGCTCATAACAAGTGCAGTGGAGGCATAGGTATAAGTTATAGCAGAGCACTAATGCCTTTGGAGGACTGTATTGAAAATGGATTTTTCTTTCCAGACAGTGATTTTTGAAACCCCTGTTTGGGCTATTTGGTCTCAAGTATTATATAGAGCAATGGTTCTCAAAGTGTGATCTCCAAACCAACAGCATCAGCATCACTGGAGTATTTTTTAGATGCAAATTCTCACCCTCTACCCTGACCCACTGAAGCAGAAACTATGGGGTGGAGCCCAGCAATCTACTTTAACAAGCTCACCAGAATCACCCACCAGGTGATTTGGATGCACATTACAATTTGAGAGTTACTGACATAAAAGTAAACACTTGTGGGTGATTAAAGGGAACAAGAAAACTAATTATTGAGTGCCTATTATAATCCCAAAGCTTTTTATACTTACTATAATTGAATCTTAAGAACCCAGATAGGCCGGGCGAGGTGGCTCAAGCCTGTAATCCCAGGACTTTGGGAGGCCGAGGCGGGTGGATCACGAGGTCAGGAGATGGAGACCATCCTGGCTAACGCGGTGAAACCCCGTCTCTACTAAAAATACAAAAAATTAGCTGGGCACAGTGGCAGGTGCCTGTAGTCCCAGCTACTCGGGAGGCTGAGGCAGGAGAATGGTGTGAACCTGGGAGACAGAGCTTGCAGTGAGCCAAGATCATGCCACTGCACTCCAGCCTGGGTGACAGAGCAAGACTCTGTCTCAAAAATAATAATAATAAAATAAAAATAAAAAAAATTTTAAAAAGGAACCCAGAGAGGTAGGTATTATTATCTTTTTATTTATTGTGGTAAAATATATATAAATACAATTTGCCATTTTTATCATTTTAAGTATACAATTTAGTGACAGTGACATTAATTACTTTCACAATATTGTTCAACTGTCACCATTATCCATCTCCAAGGCTTTTTCATTACCCCAAACAGAAATTCTGTAACTATTAAATAATAACTCCCCATTCCCTCTCTCCGCCCCCAGCTTTAGGTAATGTTGAATCTACCTTCTGTCTCTATGAATTTGCCTGTTCTAGATACTTCATATAAGTGGAATCATACAATATTTGTCATTTTGCATCTGGCTTATTTCATTCGCTTGTCTTCAAAATTCATCCATGTTGTAGCATGTGTCAGAATTTCATTTCTTTTTTTTTTTTTTTTGAGATGGAGTTTCGCTCTTGTTGCCCAGGCTGGAGTGCAATGGTATGATCTTGTCTCACTGCAACCTCCACCTCCCAGGCTCAAGCCCCTGCCTCAGCCTCCCGAGTAGCTGGGATTACAGGTGACCACCACCATGCCCGGCTAATTTTTTGTATTTTTAGTAGAGACAAGGTTTCACCATGTTGACCAGGCTGGTTTCAAACTCCTGACCTCAGGTGATCCGCTTGCCTCAGCCTCCCAAAGTGCTGGGATTGCAGGCATGAGCCACTGTGCCAGCCAGAATTTCATTCCTTTAAGGCTGAATAATATTTCATTTTATGTATATTTAAAAAATCTATTCATCTGTTTATGGACATGGGTTGTTTCCATCTTTTGGCTATTGTAAATAATGCTGCAGTGAATAATGATCTACAAGTATCTGTTTGAAGCCCTGCATTCACTTTTTTTTTTCTTTTTTAATGATGAAACTAAGGCTCAGACCAAGCAAAGTGGCCCAGGCTAGGAGGTGGAATAGCCCTACCGGTCTGACGCCAAAGCTCCTCCCACCAAATGCTACCACCCAAGAGGGCAGGGCCTATTTACCACCCATGCCAGGTGATTTACTGTATAATTTACTACTGAACGTGTGTGTGTTCCTGATCATTCTTGTTTCTTCCTTCCCTGAAGGATACTAGTTCCACACGTGCTCCCGGGAAAACCCTGCCAGAAATAAGCCGAATTAGCCAGTCCATGGCAGAAAAATGGATAGCAGTGAAAAGAAGAAGTACTGAACATGAAATGGCTAAAAGGTGGCTCTGTCTGATAAATTATAAGCCACTTTTATCTGGTTCTGGGGCTTTGGTCATTTTATCCTAAGATAGAGGTTTTGGTTTTGTTGTGAAGGTATTTGCATTTTGACCATGATTCTCTTCTACAGCCTCTTAGTGTGACTAGGTCATCAGTGTACTCATTTACAGATATATGGAGGACATGTGATATCCCAGGTGACTTACTAGGTGAGGGAGTTGCAGGAGTGAATCAAAAAAGCTCACAAAGCCTTTAATAAGGTGGACTGTTTTCATATCTTCATAGTTTACCCCTTTGGAGTTTTATGAGTTTTGGTCTTCACAGGGATAGGTTTTATTTAAACCTACGTGACTTGAACAAATCAACTATAAAGGGTTTTGGTGAGATTTAGAAATAATATGAACAAAGTATACCCAGGATTTGGGAGACTCTTAAGAGAGTAGTTATTTTCATTAATAATTATTCCACGTCATCATTTACTTATTCAGACATAATAAGATTTTCAAAAGGCATGCTTTATTATATGTTGTGACTTACCCCTTGTTATTACTTTTACAGTGAAATTAGAATGATATTTTCATCTCCTGCTTGTCTGACTGCAAGTTTTTTAAAGAAAAGGTAATACTTACATAAGATTTACCTTCATTTAAAACACTGGAAAATATTTAAAATGAAATGTTTCAAGTAAGTTTAATTTGTGAATTTTGTTATTCTTGCCCACAAAGTCCAACACAGAGAACTCTGTAGGTTGTTATAGAATTCTTTCATTTTATGAAGTAATTTTCTATTAGACTACCATAAGTTATAATTCCTAATTAATATTGTTTACTTCCTTCATACCACTTTACTCTGTTGTCTGATTAGAAGGAATGGTGTTTTTTCAGGATCTTTGTATATACAAAGGATCGGCTAAATCTCACATTGCTTTAGTACTTAGAAGCCAAGAGTACACTTTACAATTTTTACTGTGTATGATCAATTAAAAAATAGATCTTATTTATGTTGTCTTTAACTCACTGCTACAGAAGAAAATCTGATTTTACTCCTATTTGGTTTAACATTTGGTCTGATCCAATAGTTGAAACAGTTCCTGTAATGCTCAATATTTGGGTCTTCTATTTCTGCTCTTTCCTCCAAGCTCTCCAATATGGCACCTGTGTGTAAAAGGGAAGAGAAGGAGAAATAGCAGTGTAGAGGGTCTTAGGCTGCCCTCTGCCTCTTTGGAGGTTGATGCCTTGCTGATCTGTCTGCAGCTAGTGTAACTCATATGGGTTCTCCTTTGCCTGTCCCTCCCTTGTTAACTTGGTGTTAAGTTTGCTCACTGGTTCAAAATATGGTGATACACATCTTGTACCCACTGCTGGTCACTAGGTGGTACTCACTTAACCCTTGTTGCTATTACTTGCCGTTGTACAACCCTCTTGGCAGTCCCATTAGTTCTTAACCCAGCTGCATTCTCAGTCAGCTTGTGGGATTAGAGGAACTGTTGGATGCCAATAACTTCACCTAAGGCTAATTCTTACTGCATGTGGGAAAATCTTTTCTATGTGAAGATTGTTTTCTTCCTAATGTGAAAAAGTATCCATGCTCACTTCCCAGGAGTGAGGAACTCCTAAGATGTCAAAGATTGCGAAAGAGAATATATTTTAAGGGGGAAATTTATAATACTTTGTTTTAGTACTTGCATAAATATTTTAGCCCTAATGTTACTATAAATCAGTTAATCTAGCAAGGAGAAAATCTTTCTTTGTTTTTTTATTATTTATTTATTTATTTATTTAGAGGTGAAGTCTCACTCTGTCACCCAGGCCGGAGTGCAGTAGTGCAGCTCGGCTCACTGCAACCTCCACCCCCAAGTTCAAGCTATTCTCCTGCCTCAGCCTCCTGAATAGCTGGGATTACAGGTGTGCACCACCACACCCAGCTAATTTTTTATGTTTTTTGGTAGAGATGGGGTTTCACCATGTTGACCAGGCTGGTCTCAAACTCCTGACCTCAAGTGATCCACCCACCTTGGCCTCCCAAAGTGCTGGGATTACTGGCATGAGCCACCGCGCCCAGCCTCTTTTTTAAATTTTTATTATTTTTATTTATATTTTTGAGACAGGGTCTCACTCTGTCACCCAGGCTTGAGCGCTGTGGCGTGATCTCTGCTCACTGCAGCCTCCGCCTCGTGGGTTCATGTGATTCTTCCACCTCAGCCTCCTGAGTAGCTGGGATTACAGGCATGCGCCACCATGCCCAGCTAATTTTTTTGTATTTTTAGTAGAGACAGGGTTTCACCACGTTGGGCCAGGCTGGTCTCGAGCTACTGACCTCAAGTGATCCGCCCACCTCAGCCTCCCAAAGTGCTGGGATTACAGGCGTGAGCCACTATGCTCGGCATTTTGTTTGTTTGTTTGTTTGGTTTTGTTTAATGTTTAGAGATGGGGTCTTGTGCTGTTGCCCACGCTGTAATGCAGTAGTTTGATCATAGCTCCCTGTAGCCTTGAACTCCTGGCTTGAGCTATCCTTCCACCTCAGCCTCACAAGTAGCTGGGACTACAGGTGTGCACCACCATGCCTGGCTAATTTTTTTTTTTTTAATTTTTTTGTAGAGACAAGGTCTTCTCTATGTTGCCCAGGCTAGTCTCTTGAACTCCTGGCTTCAAGCAATGCTCCCACTTTGGTCTCCCAAAGTGTTGGAATTACAGGCATGACCCACTGCCGCTGGCATACAATATTTGATAATGCATTATTTAAAAATGGTTAGGCTTATTGAATGCTGGCCTCTCAAATATCACTAAAACAACTTGTTGATAAGACAGGCCAGAGAGAACAGCACACCTGGACAAAGCGTTGGTACTGTTTCTGAGAGGAAAGACCAGTTCGGAATTTATTTACAATTGGGAGTCTGGCTTAAGGAGGTCTTTCAATATGAGAGGGAAGGCTGGAGGTTTGACTTGGACTGGGTAAATGTACAACAATCCAGGATGGGTGCAAACTGTAAGGTAAGGATTTTGAGATAAGGGATTCAAAGAATCTATGGGCACAAACTGTTGATGCTCTCCATTGAAGAGTTAAATGGGTCTTTCAAGAAGTTCCCATGATGAACAATTTACATTTGCCTGGGCAAAAGTTTCCTGGAAAAGTAAAGTCATGCTAATAAAAACAGTGGAATTGCAAAGTTCTGTAAATATGAATGGTAAGGAGGGTGGGGGGTAGGTAGTTCTAGTTCTTAGTGTGCAAACTGAGTGCGGGGGCAGATGGTTTCTGTTGTCAGATTCAGCACGTAAAATTTTGTTAATATGGCAGTCCAAACTTGATGTAGCCACTACAGAGATAATAAATTGTTATCTACTGTCTTTTAACAAGGAGAACATAAACTGTACATTTTTTATGTCAAGTAAGTTGATTATTTTGAAAGGAGGTAAGCTTTAAGAAAAAGGTTTGTATCTTATATGTAATAAAGCAACAAATGACATACAAACTTTAGAAATATCCCTTTCCTTATGTTTATGTGGTTTCTTGCATTTCTTGTATCCAAAGAGGAACTGGAGAAACGACTTCCATTGATGTGGACTTAGAAATGGCAAGAGATACCTTCAAGAAGTTAACAAAAAAGGAATGGATTTCTTCCATGGTAATAGCCAATACTTACTTTAGATATAGAACAAATACGATTGCAGTTTATTTTTGTTGGAAGCTGGGTGAGATGGGAACTATGATTGTAATTGCCCGATGAGTTCTTCCTGCCCACTGCAGAAACAAAAATCGACCCACTGAGACTATGACATTGTAGTAAAGAAAGAGTTTAATTGACATGAGGCTGGCCATGCCATGTAGGAGACAGAATTATTACTCAAATCAATCTCATGAAGGCTCAGGCTCACAGCTTAGGGGCTTTTCAAAGACAGTTTGGTGGGCAGGGGGCTAGGGTAGGGGGCATGCTGACTGGCTGAGTGAGAGATGAAATCATAGGGAATAGAAACTGTCCTCTTGTGCTGAGTCAGTTCCTGGGTGGGGGCCACAGGACTGGCTGATGGGTCCAGGTGGGACCATCCAGTTGTCAGAAATGCAAAAACCTGAAAAGACATCTCAAAAGGCCAATCTTAAGTTCTAAAATAATGATGTTATTTGCAAGAGTAATTGGGGAAGTTGCAAATCTTATGACCTCCAGAATAATGGCTGATAATTATTTAGAATTCAAGCCCCTTTCATCCTCCTAACTTGTTGGACTTTCATTAGTTTTACAAGAACAATTCAGTTTTGGGGACAGACTATTATCATTTAAACTATAAACTAAATTTCTCCCAAAGTTAGCTTGGCTCATGCCCAAGAATGAGAAAAGACAGCCAACCTGTGAGGCTGGAAGCAAGATAGAGTCAACCATGTCAGATTTCTCTTACTGTCATACTTTTGCAAAGGTGGTTTTATGATTGGGGCCGAAAGAGGGGGCTAGTGTTCATTATGAAATTACTATATTCCAGGTACTATTAGGTGCTGACATTTATTTTCTTATTGAATCCTTAAATGTACAATAGATACAATATTTTTATTTTCAATATAATCAGAGCAATGCTCGAGAGGTGGATAATCTCTAGCATGATATAGGAAAAGAGCATTGGTTTGGGAAGCAGGATAACCTTATCCTGGACTGATCAACTGAAAAGCCACTTCTGTATTCTGAGATGAAACTTACATCTATTTGAGATGAATCTCTGTTACTACTTCATCCTTTCTCTTTGGATCACATTTTCTTTACCTGTTGAATTCATCTTTAAAATCTATTCCAGTTTAATATTGTGTGATTCTGGGTTGTATTGGGAAGAAAATTTTCTTTTCCTGTCCTGACTCAGGTTTGAGCTGGTGGATGGGGTCACTGAAAATTAATAATTAACAGAATCTCTTAGTGCTCAGGATGCTGTAGACTGGGTAGCTTAAACAACAGACATTTATTTCTCACAGTTCTGGAGGCTGGGAAGTCCAAGACCAAGGCACCATCAGGTTTGGTGTCTGGTGAGGGCCCACTTCTTGGTTAATAGATGACCATATTTTCAGTGTCCTCACATGGCAGTGTGAACCCCAAATATCTAAGACAGGTCTCAGTTAATTTAGAAAGTATATTTTGCCAAGATTGAGGACACACGCCTGTGACACAGCCTCAGGAGGTCCTGATGACATGTGCCCAAGGTAGTGGGAGCACAGTTTGGTTTTATACATTTTCAGGAGACACGACACATCAATCCACATATATAAGATGAACACTGGTTTGGTCTGGAAAGGCGGGACAACTCAAAGCAGGGAGGGGCCTTCCAGGTCTTAGGTAGATGAGAGAAAAATGGTTGCATGCTTTTGAGTTTCTGATTAGCCTCTCCAAAAGAGGCATCAGATATGCATCTATCTCAGTGAACAGAAGGGTGACTTTGAACAGAATGGGAGGCAGGTTTGCACTAAGCAGTTCCCAGCTTGACTTTCCCCTTTAGCTTAGTGATTTTGAGGCCCGAAGATTTATTTTCCTTTCACAGCAAAAAGGGCAAGAAATCTCTCTGGGGTCTCTTTTGTAAGGGCACTAATCCATTCATGAGAGCTCCAATCTTGTGACCTAATTACCTACCAAAGGCCCCACCTCTTAATACTATCATATTGGGGGTTAGGATTTTAACATATGAATTTTGGGGAACACATTTAGCCTATAGCACAGGAGGAAAAAAACAAGTTTTGTACGCTTGCATGTGGGGCATTCAGATGAAGAGGCTCCCTGAACAGCTAGGGATAAGAATTTATAAACCAACTTAATGGAGGAAAGGGAGAAGGGAGAAAGGGCTCCTATGGGAAGAACAAATGGGATTTTATGGAGACAAATGGAAGGTATGACAGTTTGTGAGAATGTTTGTTTATGCAATTTCTCATCCACATGCAAGTTGTCTGAATGATTGGTCTCCTTTTTAGCAGTGTAGCTCCTCAATGGGGGATGTACAAGAGCTTCATACTAGAAGAGCTCTGCATTAGTTAGATAAAAGAAGCTCCAAAAAGGCATCTCAAATGTCTTCAGTTAGTAAAATAATCTTTATACCATTTTGATGGGTCTGAGTGGGTCCTTATACTTGGAAGGGACAGGCGGAAAGTGTTCCTTAATGTGTAGTAGATACAATATTTTCATTTTCAAGATGAAGTGATAATAGCAAATATTATGAAGTATATTTCTTAAATGAATTTAGGTGATATGGGAGATAATTTGGGGTGCTGTTCCCGGTGTAAGTTCCAAGGGACATTAGTTTTATAAAAAACCCCATAAAAAAGGGTTCTTAATGAGAAAACTTTGGGAACACTCCCTACTATTATGGAGTCATGATATGCGCATTAGGAAATCAAAGATTCTATGATGTCATACACTAAAAGAAATCTCTTTTGACCCTATTTTTCTTGGAGTTATTTGACATTGTGATGCTATTTTCTGGCATAACACCTACTGGCATTCCACAGAAATCATATTCTGCTAGACATGTGAAAAAGCAAATTTTAAGAATTTTAATGTAATAAAAACAATATATAGTACATCACAGTTTATTGTTGCATATATCACTTATTTACCCTTAGGACATGAAAGGCAAACACTGTAATTACAGAACATAGATCTATCAGGTAGAGTAAATATGGCTAGCTGCTATGACAAACAACTTTGAAATCCCAGTAGCTTAACACAGTATTTTCCAACATCCTAGTCCAACAAGGGTTGGAGGTCAGAGGCACCTTTGCACAGGTTCATTCAGGGCTGAATCAGGCTTCTTTCCAGCATCTCTAGGCCCTGGGGCTGTAAAATCCTCCACTCAATCTTTTGGGTTGGCTAGCAGATGAGGGAAGTGAGTATGGAAGTTCCCATGAGAGGTTTCAGTGGCCTGGCCTTAATGTGTCACACATCACTTTCTCCCACATTGGTGAGCTAAGACTCAGTCACATGGCCCTGCCTGATTGCAGGGGAGCCAGGGGCTGCCATCTTCCTATAAACCCAGGAGGAAAAAGAAAAACGACTGGCAAGGTGAACATATGGCATTTTCTCTGCCATGGTAGATTTTACTACTATGGTAGTGCCACAGTCACTTTCTAATCGAGTAACGCTGACTTCCTCTGAGTCTCTCCTTGCTCATCTGTAAAAACAAGGTAAAACACAAATAAAGCAAAAATTACCTTACAGGATTATCAGTAAGATTAAATAAAATGATTTACACGAGATCACCTGACACATTGTAAGTACTCAATGAATGTTCAAACAAATATAAAGAATACCATACAAGTTTATTCCCACTAGTATGTTTTTATATACGTCCTATTTTAAAAGTTTACTTCTGGGCCAGGTACACTGGCTCATGCCTGTAATCCTAGCACTTTGGGAGGCCAAGGTGGGAGTATCACCTGAGCCCAAGAGTTTGAGACTGGCCTGGGCAACATAGTGAGACTCCATCTCTACAAATAATTTTCTAAAATGGGCTGGCTGTGGCAGTGCACTCCACTTAGGAGTCTTGAGGTGGGAGGATTGCCTCAACCAAGGAGCTTGAGGCTGCAGTGAGCTATGATTGAGCCACTGCACTCCAGCTGTAATTGAGCCACTACACGCTGAAGTAAAACTTTACCTCTGGATGAAATAAATAATATAAAAATTTAGAGCTATTTTTCTCTGCAAATTTTTCTACTGATACATGAGAAAACAGAAAGAAAGAAATGGATATTGTGTGAGGGGAAGGGGACAGCTCTTCCTTCTAGAAGGAGGAATACTAATGTGACCTGCATACAACATTGCTTTTGAAGGGCTTTGTATTCGTTTTGAATCCATAATTCACTCAGTATATCCATGCTCATGGGATTTCACTTTATTTTCTTCAGGGAACCTGATATAAAATGAGGAGGATGGCTCTCATGTACTATATCAGGGGTATTTGGGATGGAAGGAGTGATGGAGTCTCATCAATAGGTTTCAGAATGGCTAAGTGATTATTCTAATTGGAACATGGTGGAGTGAAACCCTTAATTTCACAGCTTGCTTCTCACAATCCTCTGTATCTAATATATCCTGGGTCTGTTCCCTGATCCTATTTTTACCACAGATAACTACGTGTCTCGAGGATGATCTGCTCAGAGCTCTTCCATGCCATTCTCCACACCAAGAAGCTTTATCAGTTTTCCTCCTGCTCCCAGAATGTCCTGTGATGCATGATTCTAAGAACTGGAAGAACCTGGTGGTTCCATTTGCAAAGGCTGTGTGTGAAATGAGTAAACAATCTTTGCAAGTCCTAAGTAAGTTTTATGTCACTTTATCTGTACTCTCAATATAGAGTCACTCTCTGAAGTAGACGTTGTAGCAAATTTTGAATAGAAGATTTCAAAATAGACAAGTATTTGAGAACATGGCATGTAAATTATTGAAAAGATTAATAATCTAAAGCTATTATAATTATTAGTTCTATCATACAAAGCAGGTGTAGTTTTTAGACTTGGATGTGGCTTTGACATCAGAGTTTGGTAGCTATAAGGTATTCATTTTAGACTTGGATGTGGCTTTGACATCAGAGTTTGGTAGCTATAAAGTATTCAATCAAGATCAATCCATACTTTAAAATTTTTTGCTCATGTTATTTTGAAACTTTTGACATTTTGACCAGATGATGAAAAACAAATGTTAAACTTTGTATTATTATTATTTACTTTATTCAGTACTGTATTATGTCCTTTTATAGCTTTTAGCGTATATTGAAAGTTCAGTGATTACCCAATAACCCAATGGGGTCCAGATGTTTATATACCCTTCTACATAGAGGAGAGGGGAGGTAGGGAATGTAGACAATTCTTTTGAGGAGTAGTAAATGACTATTAGGGAGAATGAGTGACCCAGGAAACAGAAATTAACTTGTAAATGATTCTCCTTGGAATTGGAATGAGCCTGAGAGGCAGGCATTATCTTTTGAAAAAATACATCTAGGTGTGGTTACATTCCTCAGTCGTCTTGTCTGTGACAGATAATGTAATTTCAGAGATGGCATGAAAGGCAATTCTGTTCTCTGTAGTGGGTCCAGTCTTAAGGTAGATAAGGGAGTGTCAGAGAAAAGCCTTTTCCAGCATCTGCTGACCTTCAAGGGCCTTTAACTTAAAATAATCAGCATACCAGGGTGCCATATTTTGGGGCAAATTTCCCTGGACTCCTTCACTTAAGAGGTACAGAGGGCCAGGCATTGTGGCTTACACCTTAATCCTAGCATTTTGGGAGACTAAGGTGAGAGAATCTTTTGAGCCCAGGAGGTTGAGGGCAGCCTGGGCAACATAGTGAGACCCCGACTCTACCAATTTTTTTTTTTTTAAATCAGCCATGCATGGTGGCACACACCTGTGGTCCCAGCTACTTGGAAGCTGAGGCAGGAGGATCACTTGAGCCCAGGAGTTTAAGTCTGTATTACTGGAAAGGGGTCCCAATCCAGATCCCAAACAAGGGTTCTTAGATCTCACACAAGAAATAATTCAGGGAGCGTCTATAAAGTGAAAGTAAGTTTACTAAGAAAGTAGAAGAATAAAAAATGGCTACTCCACAGGCAGAGCAGCTCCTTGGGGCTGCTGGTTGCCCATTTTTATGGTTATTTCTTGATTATGTGCTGAAGAAGGGGTGGGTTATTCATACCTCCCCTTTTTAGATCATATAGGGTAACTTCCTGGCATTGCCATGGCATTTGTAAACTGTCACGGTGCTGGTGAAAGTACAGCAGTGAGGACGACCAGAGGTCACTCTCATTGCCATCTTGGTTTTGGTGGATTCTAGCCGGCTTCTTTACTGCAAGCTGTTTTATCATCAAGGTCTTTATGACCTGTATCTTGTGCTGACCTCCGATCTCATTCTGTCATCTAGAACGCCTAACTGTCTGGGATGGTAGCCCAGTAGGTCTCAGCCTTATTTTACCCAGCTCCTATTCAAGATGGAGTTGCTCTGGTTCAAATGCCTCTGACAGCAGCAGTAAGCTATCAGCATACCACTGCACTCCAGCCTGGGTGACAGAGCAATACCCTATCTCAAAGAAAAACAAAAAGGTACAGAGGATATGTACAATGAAATGTAAGCCACCCAGTTCCCCTCCCAGAAGTGGCTACAGGTTCTAGTTTCTTGTGTAACGTTTGAAAGATATTCTATATATAGAAACATACAAATGTATTATTTCTGTTTTTAATGGTAGCAAACTATTAAAGTTCCTCTTCCACAACTTGCTTTCTCCCACTAAACAGGATATCATGGAGATCATTCCAATAGAGAATCTATAGAACTGCCTCATTCTATTTAATGGCTGAAGAATGTTCTATTGTGAAGCATTTCATTGTACATATATAAATTCACACATGCAGGAAACATTCCAGAAAGCAAAATCACTGAGTCAAATTGTATGTACATTTTTATTTTGAGATATTTTGCCAAATGACCCTCCACAGAGTCAAGGTCATCATATCACCCAATTTGAAGTGGTTGTCATTCACACTGTAGTCTGTATAAATTTCACCCCTAGAGTTGGGAAACCTGTCCGTACTGACAAAGGATGTATCAATTTACACTTCATCAATGAATATGAGAATATCGGTCTGCATACTTTCCAACCATGTTATCAAACTTTGATCTTTGCCATTCTGAGGAAAAAAAACTTTTAATTTTAAGTTGAATTTTTCTTATTAAGAGTGAGATTGTGCCGGTTTTTGTATATCACAGATCACTTTGTATATCATATTCTGTGAACTCTTACTATAGGACCACCAGGTCTGATTTCCTGTTGCACAGTAACAGACCAATACACTGAAAAAGTAGGAGTTGCAGCAGAGAAAGAATTTAATAATTGTAGGGAAACCAAATGAGGAGATGAGAGGAAACCTCAAATATGCCTCTTCAAGAGGTTTGCAGATGGGGTTTTTAAGGGGTCTGGACACAGGTGATGGCCTAAAGTGTGGTGATCACTGATTGGTTGAGAAGTGAGGGGTGAAGTCAGGGATAGGGAGATGAAGAAACTGCATTCCTGCACTGAGTCAGTTCCTTGGTGAGGGTCTTCAGACCAGTTGGTGTCAGCCATTCTGCTGGAATTCAGGATCTGCAAAATGCCTTAAATAATTATTGGGTAAAAAGGTCCAGTGTCAGAGATTTTATCCATAGGAACAATGGGAGAGCAGGTGCTCAGTGTGCTGTGTGACTCAGGGTTAGTTATCAGCTCAGGGAAGTGGGTTGAAGTGCACCAGCACACCCTAGTCAATTGACCTCGTCAATGACCATAATTCTGCATAAAGCCTGGCTTATAATTCCCATTAACCCTGTGAGAGCGGTTTTGCTATTCTTCCTTCTTTGCTCTTTTCCTATTGGTTGTTAGTATTTTTCTGTTTTATTTTAGGAGCTTTTTAATTATGAAGGCAATTAATCCTTTATCAATAATATGAATTGCAAGTATTTAGGCTATTAAAAATTTTTTTTTACTTTGTGGTATTTTTGCTATGCAGAATTATTTTAAAAAATTTTAATGTAGCCTACTATATTAATATTTTATTCTATGGTTTCTGGATTTGGGGTCATACTTCAAAAATAATTTATAACTAAAATAATTCCCATCCTCCTGCTGTAATTGTTATTATTTTATTTTTATATTTAAATATTTGATCCATATGAAGTTTATCTTGGTTAAACACTATTTTTTCTAGATCAGTTTCCAGTTTTCCCCACATATTTATTAAATCTTTTTCATTCCCACTAATATGCAATGCCGCATTTATTATGTATTAAAGTTTCGTGTGTATTTGAGTCTACTTATGGAATCTCTATGTGTTTGCTTTTCATATATCTAGGTAATACTGTTTTAATTACATTTGCTTGATAATGTATTTTAACATCAAATTTATTTGTTTTCTGAGAGTTATTCTGAGAATTTAAAGGTTCCACATTCCAAATCCATGTTGCAATCCAGTAATATTAAAATATAATTATTGGCTATTTTAAAAAGTACATGGCCATGTACCAGATGTTCATAAAATCCAAACACATATATAATATTTTTTCATTTTTTACAGATTAAAAACGTCCTTGATGCCATTGTATGTGTTTGTGTATTCACCTGTGTGTGTTTTCAGACTTCATAGATACCCTATACAATTGTCAGTTTGAAAATCATGAAGTCAATCAATTAAGCATAAATGTGAGCCATTAACCAATTTCTTCAAATCCTGAATTTGAGCTTTTCAAAATTCTAATGATACTTAATAAGGGAAAAAAATTTCCACATCTGTGAGCAGTAACTGTTGTGCAGGATATACTTAAAAAAGATATTCATAAATTATGCCATCAGAAATGTAAAATATTATCTATTTCTTACATTAAAGAACCCACTAGAAACAGAGATTTGGGGGGTGGTAGGAAAAACATATTTATCATGGCTAATTTTACACCCCCAGAGAAGTGTTGGGCATTTTTGCAAGAATCTTCTCTGAATCCGCTGATCCAGATGCTTAAAGCAGCCATCATCTCTCAGCTGCTTCATCAGACTAAAACCGAACAGGATCACTGTAATGTTAAAGCTCTTTTAGGAATGATGAAAGAACTGCATAAGGTAAGGGTTACTCTAAAGGAATGCATGTACTATTTTATGTAATCAAAATCCCTTAAGTCTCAACCAGTTGGACTTCTAAGAAGTCAAATAAAAATCATGAGGAGTCAAATGTTTTTTAAAGGAGTATAGAAAAGGGAAATGTTTGGCATAAAATAATTAGGGATTTAAAAGTTGAGAAACTTTAGGAGGACTTAAGATGTTTTGTAATGGACTTCTTTCATTAAGAAAAAGTACACTGTGCTTGTAATTCTAGCTACTCTGGAAGCTGAGGTGGGAGGATGGCTTGAGCCCAGGAATTTGAGGCTGCAGTGAGCTATGATTGTGCCACTGTACCCCAGCCTGGGTGACAGAGCAAAACCACATTTCTTAAAAAAAAAAAAAAGTAAAGTACACTGAAGATACTGCTACATGTAACAACATACAACAACATGGATGAATCTCATCAACACAGTGATAAGCAAAAAACACACCAAAAATTACACTCTATGTCATCTTTTATAAGAATTTTAAAAACAAGCAGAGCTAATCTATAATGACAGAAAGCAGAATGGTGTTACCTCTTGGGAAGGGCAATTGGTTTGGAAGGAGCATAGGAGAACATCCTGGGGCCTGCTAGAAATGTTCCATGTCTTCACCTGGACAGTACTTACCCAAGTGAGTATGTGTGTAAAAACTCACCAAGCTGCACATTTAAGATGTATGCACTTAGTCAATGTATGTTGTAAGAAAAAAAACCCAGAATCACATAGAAAAACCCTCCCTCAAAGTAGGAGCGAGCCAAAAGACCAAAAAATGACTTAGGACAAGCCCAGCTTGATGAGTAGATGTTGTCTATTAGGACTTACATACAGGGCACTCCTGGACGGCAATAGGACAGCTCTAGTGATCTGTGCTGCCTCCCATCTCTAAACTGCTTTTAAGCGAATTTTCTGGCTCAAAGAGCTACAGTGTTTGAGCCATGAGAATGTTTTTCTTGGTAGGTTCTCAGATACTCTCCAGGATGTTTGGGTTCTCAGGGACACCTGCTCCTCAGCTGGGCACCGTGGCCTTGGCTCATTGCCTGGCCTTCAGGGTTAAGGCACTGGATAAAAACCCTTAAGTAACTTGGTGAGAGACCCATCACACTACACATGTGTGATTTTTTTGTTTGTTTGTTTGTTTGCTTGAGACAGAGTCTAGCCCTGTTGCCCAGGCTGGAGTGCAGTGGTGTGATCTTGGCTCACTGCAACCTCTGCCTCCTGGGTTCAAGTGATTCACCTGCCTCAGCCTCCGGAATAGCTGGGATTACAGGCACCTGCCACCACACCCAGATAATTTTTGTATGTTTAATAGAGATGGGGTTTCACCATGTTGGCCAGGCTGGTCTCGAACTCCTGACCTCAAGTGATCCGCCTGCCTCGCCTCCCAAAATGCTGGGATTATAGGCGTGAGTCACTGTGCCCAGCCCAGATATGTGATTTATAAATGAAACATATATGTTTTATTTGTAACTTAGTAAAAATTAAATAGAAAGGAAGAAAAGTTCACCGAGGACTATGGCCAGAACAAAGAAAGGGCCCAATGGATACTGTTAGATCAACTCAGTCTGTCTATATCAGAATATTTGCTAAATCCCACTGTAGAAATATCAAATGAGGCCATTAGGATTTGGTGTCCACGTTCTCTATGGCTGTGTCAACATTAGGGTCACCAAGAATGCAAAGTCTGTTTTAGTAGAGTTACCTAGAGTCAGTGGTATCCAGAAGTCACTGGGCGTGGTTACATCATCCTCATTCTGCTTTGGGTGGTAGTCCCAATAAAGAGAAATCAGACTGGACTCTTGACTAGATCTAAAGATTGACACAACCATGTTACAGATGAGTGTCTGAATTCACAGTGATCAGTGATTCACAGAAGAGCTCTTAAATTCCAGAGAAGTAGACCAGAGTAATGAGCACTAATGTCTAAGGCACCTAGGGCAGCACTTCTTAAACTTTAATATGCATGCAAGTTACCTGAGATCTTGTTAAAAAATTCAGATTCTGATCCGGTAGGCCTGGGGTGGTGCCAAAGATTCTGAGAAATTCTTAAGTGATGTCATTGCTGATACCTGAAGGATTTATGCTTTGATGTTCTTGTGCCTAGGAAGAAAAGCTATTAAACTAATTAATAATGAATTAGTAATTAAGACCATTACACTGTAATTTACTGTCTTAAGCTGCAATTAATAAACATAATATTTGGTCTCGGTTCTGGAATGGTCTCTAGTATTGTGGACAATTGGAAGACTATATTTGTTTTACTAATGTTGTGATAGAGAAAGCACAATATTAGGTCATGCTAACTTCAGACGTACATCCTAGGACCCAAACATTGTCATAAATCCTCTCTCTTCCCCTCTCCCTCTCCCTCTCCCTCAAACATTGTCATCAATCCTCTGTCTTCTCCTCTCCCTCTCCCTCTGCTCTCTCTCTCTCTCGGCTTTTTTCTTTTTGGGTTTCATTCTCTCTTACTATATATAGGGTGTCAGAGCAGGGCACTGTTTCTCACACTAACTTTCGTTTTCTTTCTAGGTTAAATTTACTTCTTAATAAAATACACCTCTTTCCCTGGCGCTTTGTAGTACTCCTTGTGTTGAAAATCAAGTATTCATTTGGCTGTTAATCTATCCTTGTACCTGTATAACACCGTACAAGTTACTGTATCTTTATAATAAATATTGATATGTGATAAAGTTTCAACTTTTATCTTCTCCTTCAGTGTTATTGTTAAACTTAAATATTAACTTTAGAATTACCTTTTTGTTCCAATTCCACAAATTCCATTTGTCGGGCTTTTGATTGTGTCTTTGACCTGGTAGTGAAATGAATCTATAGAACAATTGGAGAGAGAATGACAACTTTACTGAGTCTTCTAAGTCTGATCATGACATAGCTCTCTGTTTATTTAGTTCTGCAGTTTCTTACAATAATATGTTATAGTGTTCTATGTAGAAGTCTTGCAGTCTTTTATTAGATAAATCATGAGTACTTGATATTTTATGTGGTTATATATCTTTTTAAAACAGCTTTATTGAGATATAATTCTCTCATTTAAAATATACAATGTCATGCCTGTAATCCCAGCACTTTGGGAAGCTAGGGTGGAAAGATTGCTTGAGCTCAGGAGTTTGAGACCAGCCTGGGCAACATAGTGAGACCTTGTCTCTATTTTTTTAAAAATAAAAATAAATAAATAAAATGTGCAATGTAATACTTTTTAGCATATTCATGGAGTTGTATAACCTTTACCCAAATCAACTTTACAACATTTTTATCACCCAAAAAGAAGCCCTATACCCATTAGCAGTCACTCCCCATTCCCCATTCCCCCTCAACTCCCATCCCCTTATTCTCACTCCAGCCCTAGGCAATCACTAATCTACTTTCTGTCTCTACAGATTTGCCTATTCTGGACATTTTATGTAAATGGAATCACACATTATGTAGTCTTTTGTAACTAGCTTTTTTCACTTAGCATAATGTTTTCAAGGTTCATCTATGTTGGAGTATGTATGAGTACTTCATTCTTTTTTATTGATGAATAATATAATGCATTGTATGAAATACCACATTTTATATATCCCTTCCTCAATTGATGGATATTTGGGTTATTTCCACTCTTTGGCTATTATGAATAATGCCGCTATTTAAATGTCTGTACAAATTTTTGTGTAGACATGTTTTCATTTCCCGTATATACCCAAGAGTGGGATATCTGGGTCATATGGCAACTCTAGTTTAATCTTGTGAGGAACCAGCAGACTGTTTTCCAAAGCAGCTACACCATTTTGTATTACCACTAGCAATGTATGACAGTTCTAGTTTTTCCACGTTCTTTTTTCTTTTCTTTTCTTTTTTTTTTTTTTGAGACGGATTCTTGCTCTGTTGCCCAGGCTGGAATGCAGTGGCAGGATCTCGGCTCACTGCCACCTCCACCTCCCAGGTTCAAGCGATTCTCCTGCCTTAGCTTCACAAGTAGCTGGCATTACAGGTGTACACCCCATGCCTGGCTAATTTTTGTATTTTTGTAGAGACTGGGTTTTACCATGTTGGCCAGACTGGTCCCGAACTCCTGACCTCAAGTAATCCACCCACCTCAGTCTTTCAAAGTGCTAGGATTACAGGCATAAGCCACCGCACCCGACCACTTTTCCACATTCTTGCCAACACTTGTTATTATCTGTCATTTGGATTATAGTTATCCTAGTGAGTGGGAAATGATATTTCCTTGTGATTTTGACTTGTATTTCCTTGATGGCTAATGATGTTGAGCAGTTCATATGCTTATTGCCCATTTCTGTATCTTATTTTGAGAAATGTTTATTTAGGTCTTTTGTCCATTTTAAAATTAGTTTATTAGTCTTTTTATTATTGAGTCATAAGAGTTCTTTACATACAGTTACAAGTCCCTTATCGGATATACGATTTGCTAGTATTTTCCCATGTGTTGTTTTTTCACTTTCACCATGGTGTCTTTATGCACAAATGTTTTTTATTTTGATGATAAATTCATCTACTTTTTCCTCTTAAAAGTTAAATTTTTAACTGTCTTTGATGTATAGAAATGCAGTAATTTTTATACATTAAGCTTGTTTTTTAACAATCTTGTTAAATTTACCTACTAAAACTAATCTCTTGACTTCTTTGGATTTTCTCTGTATAGAATCATATAACTTGAAATAATAACAGTTTTGTTCCTATTTATTTTTCTTTACTTATTTCATTGGCTAGGACAACCAGTATAATGTTTTATAACCTTATTCTGATCTCAAAGGGAAAACCTTAACATCCAGTTTTATGTTTTGCTGTGGGATTTTTGTAGATACGTTTTTAAAAGGTTAAGGAAACTTCATTCTATTTCTAGTTTGCTGAGGGCTTTGTTCTTTTAGATCATGAATGGATACTGAATTTTATTAAATGCTTTTTCTGCATACGATGGCAAAATACACAGATGGGTTTTCAGCTGTTTTAACTTTATCTACTTGAAGTAACACAGCCTGCTCATGTGTTATAGATTTCAAAGATTCCATTTGCTGATATTTTGCTTATCATATTTGCATCTATATTCATGAGTGAGACTGGTTTGTTATTTTACTTTCTCATAATGCCCCTGTGAGGTTTCTGGACCAGGTAATGCTAATCTCATGAAATTATTTGGGGAATATTCTTTCTCTATTTTATGTAAAAGATTGTATAATACTAGCATTTTCCTTAAATGATAGGTAGAACTAATCTATAAACCTTTTGGGTCTGGAAATTTCTTTGTCGGAAGTTTTTTAAATTATGGGTTTAATTTATTTAACAGCCACAGGATTATTGAGATTTTCTATTTTTTTCTTGTATTGCTGGGTATTTCCCCAGGATTTGTCTCTTTATCTAAGTTTTCAAATGTCCTATTTTTATCTTTTTAATCTCATCACAATCTGTAGTTTTGCCCCATTTTTCATTCTTGATACTGGTTTTTTTTTTTGTTTTTTTTAAAGTCTTACCAGGAAATTGTTTTTTCTTTTTTAAAGACGCAGTCTTTTCATTTGTTGATCTTGCTCCTGTATATTTGTTTTTCATTTCCTTAATTTATGTTCTTAAGTTTCTTATTTCCCACCTTCTATCATTTGGATTCATTTTTGTGATGGAGGCATTTAGATCATTTAGATCACTGATGCTTCCTCTAGGAAGCCTTCTTGAACCTCTTAAGTCTTTCCCCAATCAGAAACTGTATCCTAAATTCCTGGTAACTTGTTGTTTTTACCTACTAGACCACAGATTGTCAATCTACACCCAAGGGCAGTCTCCTGTTTTTGCAAATACAGTTTTATGGGAATAGATCCACATTCATTTGTGTAAGACAGGACATTTTAATCTAAAGATTTGTCCTGTGCTTGACAAAAATAGTGTGTGCCAAGTTAGTATTTATTAATTAAGGAGCAAAGTGCTGAATTTGTTAAAAGTACCTTGGATTTTTATGGTGCTTTTATTCTCAAAATCTAGAAACTATTTCCAGTAAATCTATGCCCTAAAAATTAGTTTACTAATCCACACTGTCAGCGTCTTATCTTTGACATTTCTTCATGAAAATTAAGGAAATTATAGCTCAGAAAATGGAAACTTTATAGAACTCTATTTCATCACTGACAAATGTTTTCAGTTTAGAGAGCTTTCTTCTTCTTATCTGTATAACAGCCATACATATATATCTATATATCATAGATTAAATCACTTATTGATAGAAAATGAAATTCACAGGTCATATTCTCTTTAAGGTAAACAAAGCTAACTGTCGACTACCAGAAAATACTTTCAACATAAATGAACTCTCCAACTTATTAAACTTTTATATAGATAGAGGAAGACAGCTCTTTCGGGATAACCACCTGGTAAGAATAACATTTTTACTTCTGAAAATGTTCATATTTTAAAGGAAGACACATTACTGTAGTATCTGTAAAGGTACTCTTTGATAAATCAGGATTTGAAAATTTTTTAATTGCAATGATAAATTTGCTAAATTTGATGATCACTGAAAACTTAAATATATTTTAATCATAAAACAAATGCAGTTTTTGAAATTTTGTTTCTAAGTAATTCGGATTCTTACAGATTTCTGAGGCCAGGTGCAGTGGCTCACACCTGTAATCCCAGCACTTTGGGAGGCCAAGGTGAGCAGATTGCTTGAGCCCCGGAGTTTGAGACCAGCTTGGGCAACATGGTGAAACGCTGTCTCTATCGAAAAAATACAAATACGTGGTAGCACGTATCTGTACTCCCAGCTACTCAAGAGGCTGAGGTGGGAGGATCACTTGAGCCCAGAGAAGGAGGTTTTAGTGAGCCAAGTTTATGCCCCTGCACTCCAGCCTGGGCAATAGAACAAGACTCTGCCTTAAAAAAACAAAGAACCACAAAAACCAGATTCCAAAAAAAAGGCGATAAGGTAAAGGAAGTAAGTTTTTTTTCATTGTTTTTAATTATCAAAACTATTATCTCTGTTTATTTTTTAGATACCTGCAGAAACCCCCAGTCCTGTTATTTTCAGTGATTTTCCATTTATCTTTAATTCGCTATCCAAAATTAAATTATTGCAAGCTGATTCACATATAAAGATGCAGGTATGTATGTCCTATTTTTTAGTATGAAAAATTTCAAACATATATAAAATAGAGATAGTGGTATAATGAATCCCATCACCAAGATTCAGCAATTGTCAACATTTTGCCACACTTTTATCTATCACTTTTTTTCTTTGTTGTTGTTACTGTTTTTGCTGAAGTATTTTACAGCAAATTTCAGTTCCAATGTCTCTTCACCTGCCCATACTTCAATGCATTATTTCTGGTTGTCCTACTCGTGTTCACTGTGAGATTCATGAGTGGTTCAAGTGGCAACCACATGATTCTTTCATTGTTTCTCATTAACCTTTTATTTAATAATTTCATCCATTATTTTCATTAAGGTTTGTGGTATGGCAATACTTCTAATCTTATTCCTTCCAAAGTCATTTCCTGGAATTAGGTAAAAAAGAGCTTTTCCTTATCAGTCAGGGCACTTGGTTCCTCCAAAATGGTTAAAGACCATTCACATAGGAAGGTAGAATAATTAATTCCTATCCCTTTAATTATCAAATGTTGCCAAATTACCCTCTATAGAGTTTGTAAATGCCTCTTCCACATGCTGTTCTCAGCAATGCAGAGTATTATCAAGCTTTGTGATCTTTTCCATTTTGATGAGTTAATCATGATATTTCACGTTGATTTTAATTTATATTTCTCCTTGTTATTTAATGTTCTAGTCCTCACTTTCTTTATATAATATGTATCTATTGTTTTCCTGCCATGAACAACACTGACGCTATCCAGTAATCTGTTCTTTCCTTCTCTCTTCCCTCTCCTCCTCTATCCAATTTTAATTGCTGTGTTCTTAAGTGCTAATCTTTGGATTAAAAATACCTCCTTAAGCTTCTTGGAGCTTGATTTATAAGCTCCGACTGATATTCTTTTATTCTTAAATAATGTCTATGAGTCAATCAATGAGTTTATTTTGTTTTCCACTTACTTTCACCCTTCTGCTTCTTTTCTGGTAGTTGTATTAGTCCCACATAAGATTTACATACTATTTTGTTTCTTTTATCACCATCAGCCTTAGTTCTCAGTTAAGTATATATAATGCCATCCCCTTATTATGCTAAAACAAATTTTCCAAACTTTTTTTTTATTGCTGAGGCTTGTTTTCTAGGTCATTCCTCATGAAAAGTTTATATCTATTTTTCTATGATATTTATATTTTAAAGACTCATAGGAATCAGAACTTATACCCATTATTGACTTTTATTACTAATTCAAAGGATGCATCTGGGTGAAACATAAGAAGTCTGAGATAGAACATGCACAAGAGAAGCCATTTCAGTTATTCATTCCCTTTTTATACCCCGCTAATTACATGGCTTACATGACATTTTCCAATGTGCCATGCCCCATAAATCCACGAATTCCAGGTTTATTTATAATAAGCAACCTAGACAGACAAGGTATATCCTGCTAGTAGCATTCCACAGGTAAGGGCTGTCCCTCTAGTTCCTATTATTATTATTATTTTGAGACAGAGTTTTGCTCTTGTTGCCCAGGCTGGAGTACAATGGTGCAATCTCAGCTCACCACAACCTCTGCCTCCCGGGTTCAAGCGATTCTTCTGCCTCAGCCTCCCAAGTAGGTGGGATTACAGGCATGCGCCACCATGCCTGGCTAATTTTGTATTTTTAGTAGAGACAGGGTTTCTCCATGTTGGTCAGGCTGGTCTCGAACTCCCAACCTCAAGTGATCTGCCTGCCTTGGCCTCCCAAAGTGCTGGGATTACAGGCGTGAGCCACCGCACCCGGCTTATTATTATTATTATCATCATCATCATCTTAAGACAGAGTCTAGCTCTGTTGCCCAGGCTGGAGTGCGATGGTGCGATTTCTGCTCACTGTAACCTTCACCTCCCAGTTTCAACTGATTCTCCTGCCTCAGTCTCCCAAGTAGCTGGGATTACAGGCACCCACCACACCCAGCTAATTTTTGTATTTTAGTAGAGACGGGGTTTCACCATGTTGGTCAGGCTGGTCTCGAACTCCTGACCTCAGGTGATCGGCCCGCCTCAGCCTCCCAAAGTGCTGGGATTACAGGCGTGAGCCACCACGCCCGGACTAGTTACTATTATTAGTGCCTATTACCAGCATGTTTACAAATATATTTGACCAGGTCATCTCTTCTTTTATTTCTGAGCCATCTGTTTTTATTTTTGTAACATCCCTGGTAAAGGGAGAAAATAGATTGTCTTTCCTTTCCAAACCTAACTTTCCCATCAATTTCCCTTAAACAAGACCTTCCCTTTATGGTATTTTCTCCTATAGTCATGTTTCTCTCTGGGTCATTTGTCTATTCTGCTAGTGAGTAGTCGAGGGTTGAGTGAATAATGGACTCGGGCAGATTGCACATTATGAAAGACTAGGAAAAGTCTGAGGACAAGAAAACTCTTACTTTTAGTTGTTATGAGTGAAGCTGGAAAGCTGACTTTACAATCCTGCTCTCCAAAGGAGAGATAATGGATATAGTTAAAACTGCAAGCTCCAAAGTGGATCACCAATTCAAATGTGTAAATGTGAAAAGGTAAAACCAATATACAGAGAACCGGAGTAGAGAAGCTAGAAATTAAGCTAAGAGGCAGGTTTCCCATCTAGCTCTTGGTTATGTAAAAGAAGGTACAGACACCTCTCCCTGCTGTAGTCAGTGGAGGACATTGCTGGCCACAAACCCATGGAACTCAGACCCATGGAACATGTTGCTCAGTAGTCAGTATTGCTGGATGTCCCAGACCTGCAGACTTCTGCAGGGCCACAGGAGGTGATGACCCACCACCAGAAAGGAACAGAGATGGAACTTGTTCCTTTTCCCTACAAATCTGGTGCCTAAAAAAAAAAATCTTAAAGAAAAACCAGAAGAATCTAGTAATAACAGACAAATTTCTTAGTATATAATGGTGGCAGATACCCAGGGCAGGGATTTCCCAACCCCAGGGCCATATGCACACTTCTCTGAAGTGCTTGTAGAGAGTGAATGTGGGCAAACACACCCAGCCTAGGAACCTGGGGTAGGATAGCTATTATCCTCTGGTCTTGCTGTCACGATTTCAGGACAGGCCCTATGAGGGCTACATTGGTTTGAGTTCTAAATCCTCATTTATTGTCCTTGTGATGTAACTGAAGCCCTTGAGGAGTGCTGAAGGTCAAAGCAAGGATAGCAAGTCCAACACTAGATTTCTAATCTAAAGAAGTTCAACAGAAACAAGATCAGAGATTAAAATAGTGAGACAATGTTGAGAATTCAGAAAAGCTAAAGAGAAGTACTTAGGGTGATCAGAAAAGCTAAAAGAAGTACTATTTAGTGTGACCAGGAGTAATGTTAGATATAAAATGAGGCCACCTGTGGCATATTCTTAAAGAGTTCCCATGGATGGATCATAGTTATTGGAAAGAGAAGAGTGGATCTTCTCTGAGGAAGTCTGTCTTCTGTCTTTTTCCTACAGCTCACATTATCCCTGAGCTCTTATACTGTCTTTATATTCCTGAGGATTACAATGCTAATGCTCTGTGTCTTAAGACTGATGGTGGATGAATGTCTCAGCATGTTGAATACCAGTATGGCCTTTAAGGATGATGTTTACTATAATAAATAATCTGAGATAGCTTTTAATAACTTAGCTGTTCATCCATGCTAACTAATCTCCTGTACACAATTCCTAGGTAACCATAGTTTCTTTGGTCCTACAATCACTCCACCTTCCATAAGGCAGATATGTTGTCTGTTTTCTTAAATAATTACAATGTGAATGTTTATAGCAATGGCAGGATTAAGTATATACTACACAAAATGTTTATTGGAAGTATTAAACAATCCTTGGGATTCCTATGAGGTCAAAAGGAGAAGCCAACTAAAAAATTTATTTTTCCAGATGTCAGAAAAGAAAGCATACATGCTTATGCATGAAACAATTCTGCAAAAAAAGGATGAATTTCCTCCATCACCCAGATTTATACTTAGAGTCAGACGAAGTCGCCTGGTTAAAGATGCTCTGCGTCAATTAAGTCAAGCTGAAGCTACTGACTTCTGCAAAGTATTAGTGGTACAGTAAAAAGTCTCATTGAACATTTTTACTTCTGTGGGAGGGATGCATTCATATGATGTAACAAATGCTCTCTGAAAAGAGCCTGCATTTGCCTCTATGGTTATCAATCTTTTGGTTTCCAGAATTCCCCTCTTACCCTTCAGAGAATAGCAATAGGATGCTTAACTGCACAGTGGGCTATGAGTTAACTATTAGTTACTGATGACTACAAAAATGCTGCATAATGAAACATCCCAAAACGTAAAGGCTCAAAATGACAATAATTTATTTTACAGATCTGCAGTTCAGTGGAGGACCTGCTGATCTAGGCTGAACTCATCTGGGTGGCTTTGCAAATTTTATCTGAGTTTGTGTACATGTCTGGGAGTTGGCTAGGGACTGGCTGACCTAGGCCTGGCTGGAGCAATTTAGCTCTGCTTCCTATGTCTTTCATTCTCCTCCTGGGGCGAGCAAGCATGTTCTTCCCACAGTAGTGCCAGAGGTGCAAGATAGCAAGACCAAACATTGCTTTAGTCAAAGCAGTCATAAAGCTGAACCTAAGTCAAAGGCTAGGGAAATATACACAGCCTCTTCAGTGGGAGGAACTGCAAAGTCATATGCAAAAGACATGGATCACAGAGGGGTGAAGAATTGGGGCTATAATGCAATCAAACTGCTAGAGGAAGGGATACTTTTCCTACATGTTGGCTCTAGTTTCATCACTTAAGACCTTCCACTAAAGACCTTCCACTATATGAGTTTCAATGCTAGCCATCCTTCCTTTTATCCTTTGTGGGTGCTTACAGGGTTTTTATTGTGTAGTAACTCAGGTTATTTGCCCTCTTGAGGCTACAGAATAATGACTAACTCTGTAGGTAAGAGCTGGAGTCTGTCCAGAAGGGAGTGGATTTTCTCGATGTCAGCCATGAGAGGAAGAGTTGGGCTGTTAGAGAAGAAATCAGAACCTGGGAAGTGGGATTCAGATAAAAAAGGGATTTTCCCAGCATGTGACTCCAATGGAAAACAAAAACTACTTTATAAACCAGGCTTTCTAGTTGTATGTCTCCCTTCATACCTATTTTTCTTTAAATCTTAACTGTAAAGGAATCAGTAGAAAAGTATTCCCCTTATGAGAGATGACCAAGGGGTAAAAAAAAGTAAACTTCAAGCCAGATCAAATAAAAATACAGACTCTGAACAAGGGCAAGGTTGTCAGGGCCCATCATGAGTGAGTCTTGACACGGACAGACTTGCTAGTATAAATGAGCAGAAATAGGAAAATCAGAAGTAGGCTTAATTTGTTATTGAGATATTCAGAAGGGAAAGTGGGGCAGGCCCTTAAACATGATGGTCTATTGATCGAAGCAGCAGTAGATAAGATTACCCAGGCAAAGAGAGTAGAGAGAGAACAAAAATCTAAGCAACAAAAATTAGAGGTGCTTATCATTAAAAGATAAAAGTAAATTACCCAAAAAAGGATGTAGAAAAGAAATAGTTAAGAGACATGGGGGAAAACCAAGATAGTACATAGCCATAAAGTCCAAAGGTAGAGAAAGCTTTTAAAAAGAGGGACTGGGGCCAGGTGCGGTGGCTCACACCTGTAATCCCAGCACTTTGTGGGGGCCAAGGTGGGCGGATTACCAGCTGAGGTCAGGAGTTTGAAACCAGACTGCCCAAAAATACAAAAACTAGCTGGGTGCGGTGGTGGGTGCCTGTAATCTCAGCTACTCGGGAGGCTGAGGCAGGAGAATGGCTTGAACCCAGGAGGTGGAGATTGCAGTAAGCTGAGATCGTGCCATTGCACTCCAGCCTGGGCAGCAGAGTGAGACTCCATCTCAAATAAATAAATAAATAAATAAATAAATAAATAAATAAATAAAAAGAGGGACTGGTTAATGCTGATTTCTCATTTGAGAGCTATGGGCAATCTGCTCTGCTGGTTCCTGCAAAGGTCTCATGCCCAGGCAGACTGGGAGGGCTGTTTTGCAGAAGCCCAAATAAGAGTAGAGACAGGAGAAACCAAATACTTGTTGACTGGAGCCAGCCAAGGTTGTGAAGTCTGAATGATGAGATGGACAACAAGATAGAATAATCAGGGAATTTAGGGGCCCACGGGTTTGAAGAACATCAAAATTTGGTTTGAGATACTGGTCAATGTAACTGGTGAATGCTAAGTCTTGCTAGAGTCCCCCTTCACTTGGTCCATGTAGCAGTGTAAAGGATGCACACAACAATCTGAGAATAAATAGATTCATGGCCTTCACTGCTCAGCAGCAAACTGAGGGAAGACAGATTGCAAGGAGGTAAGGGCTATGTGATTCTAATAATTCTAGAGACTGCAAGAATGGTCGTTAGAGGTTTAAAACTTCCATAAAGCTCAAAACATTGTATTTTAAGTCAGGATCTGGGACTATGTTCTCTTTCCTTAGGTTGAATTTATTAATGAAATTTGTCCTGAGTCTGGAGGGGTTAGTTCAGAGTTCTTCCACTGTATGTTTGAAGAGATGACCAAGCCAGAATATGGAATGTTCATGTATCCTGAAATGGGTTCCTGCATGTGGTTTCCTGCCAAGGTAAGTCTTTTCTTTTTTTTTTTTCCCCCAGAACAGAAAAGGCACCCCATATACTGCAACATTAACACCATAGATAGTGGTGTAAAATTAGGTCATATAGAGCTTTGCTACTCATATTTTGAGTAGTACTCGTATGGTTCACAGAGCAGCAGCTATGGCGTCACTTGGGGAGCTGTTAGAAAAGCAGAATCTGAGGCCCTACTCTACACCTACTGAATCAGAGCATGTATTTTATAAGATCCTTAGGTGATTCACATGCACGTTACATTTTTAATGGTTTTAATAAATTATACTTGAGAAATAATAAACTGCATATATTTAAGGTGTCCAGCTTGGCTCAGCCTGGTGGTTCACACCTGTAATTCCAGGATTTTGAGACACTGAGGTGGGAGGATTGCTTGAGTAGCTGAGACTACAGGCGTATGTCACACCAGGCTAATTTTTGTATTTTTAGTAGAGACGGCATTTTGCCATGTTGGCCAGGCTGGTCTCAAACTCCTGACCTCAAGTGATCCACCTGCCTTGGCCTCCCAGAGTGTTGGGATTACAGGTGTGAGCCACCACGCTCAGCTGAATCACCTTTTAAGAATGAAAAATTATCTCTAGGATTCTATCAGTCATTTCTGTCCTAATTTAAAACACTTTAGATTACTGCTTCTCAAAATTTAGGAAATAACCTACATATCCATCAGTAGGAGAGCAGGTAAACAAATTGTAGTACATGCTGAGCATCCTGTAATCTGAAAATCCAAAATCTGAAATGCTCTAAAATTGGAAACTTTTTGAGTGCCAACATGATGCCACAAGT
The DNA here is from genome assembly GCF_000001405.40 of Homo sapiens. Classification (NCBI taxonomy): domain Eukaryota; kingdom Metazoa; phylum Chordata; class Mammalia; order Primates; family Hominidae; genus Homo; species Homo sapiens. The sequence goes on from NC_000004.12 coordinate 88,432,114, forward strand.
GGGAAATTCCACTCATAAGTATTTAATACGAACTTTGTTTCATGCACAAAATTATTTAAAATATTGTTTGAAATTACCTTCAGGCTATGTGTATAAGGTGTATACGAACTATTAATATAAATGAATTTTGTGTTTAGACTTCGGTCCTATCCCCAAGATATCTCACTGTGTTTATGCAAATGTTCCAAGTCTGAAAAACTCTGAGATCTGAAACACTGCTGGTCCCAAGCCTTTCACATAGGGATACTGAGCAGAATCTCAGTATCCCTTTTTTGAGACTCCGGCTCAAAAAAAAAAAAAGAAAAACAAAAACAGGTGATTCATGGCCAGGTGCGGTGGCTCACACCTGTAATACCAGCACTTTGGGAGGCCGAGGTGGGGGGATTACTTGAGGTCAGGAATTCGAGACCAGCCTGGCCAGCCTGGCCAACCTGGCGAAACACTGTCTCTACTAAAAATACAAAAATTAGCCAGGTGTGGTGGTGCGTGCCTGTAATCCCAGCTACTTGGGAGGCTGAGGCAGGAGAATCACTTGAACCTAAGAGGCAGAGGTTGCAGTGAGCTGAGATTGCGCCATAGCACCCCAGCCTGGGCGACAGAGTGATACTCTGTTTCAAAAATAAAAGGTGCTTAAAAAGGAAAAAAGAAAAATAAAAAAGGTGATTCATGTCTGTAATTATTATATTTTTGTAAAGGTCCTTAAAGTATAAACATTTTCTTTCTTAAAGTAACAAAAAAATTGAGGCAGGCGGATCACCAGGTCAGGAAATCGAGACCATCCTGGCTAGCATGGTGAAACCCTATCTCTACTAAAAATACAAAAAATTAGCCGGGTGTGGTGGCACGAGCCTGTAGTCCCAGCTACTCGGGAGGCTGAGGCAGGAGAACTGCTTGAACCTGGGAGGCAGAGGTTGCAGTGAGCCAAGATCGCACCACTGCCCTCCAGCCTGGGTGACAGAGCGAGACTCCATCTCAAAAAAGAAAAGTAACAAAAAAATTTGTCTTCATTTCTGTATTAGTAACACAGATCATTTAATCTGTGTATGAAATTGTAATTTCATACAATATTTTAAATAATTTTGTGCATGAAACAAAGTTCGTATTAAATACTTATGAGTGGAACTTCCCACTTGTGGCATCATGTTGGCACTCAAAAAGTTTCCGATTTTAGAGCATTTCAGATTTTGGATTTTCAGATTACAGTTCTAAAAAGAATCACATGTTGAGCTTCTATTGTGTTATGGTTTGAATGCCCCACCCTCCCCGAAATTCATGTTAAAACTTAATCCCCAATGTGGTAGCCTTGAAAAGGTGTCCTTTAGAGGTACTTGGGTCATGAGAGTTCTGCCCTCATGAATAGATTAATCCACTCATGGATTAATGAGTAATGGATTAATGGGTTATCATGGGAGTGGAACTGGTGGCTTTGTAAGAAGGGGAAGAGAAACCTGAGCTAGGACACTCAGCCCCCTCACCATGTGATGCCCTGTGCAGCCTCAGGACTCTGCAGAGTTCTCATCAGCAAGAAGGCCCTCACCAGATACAACTGCTCAGTCTTGGACTTCCCAGCCTCCAGAACTCTAAGAAATACATTCCTTTTCTTTATAAATTACCCGGTTTCAGATATTCTGTTATAAGCAACAGAAAATGAACTAAGGCATATTTATTAGTCCCCTTTCCCATAAACTTCCAAATTGTTCTTCCAAATGGCAGAAAGGACAGGCAGGAGGAGGAGAAAGATGAATACATGTGAAAAAATACTGAAAGGTGTTTTGTATCTTTTCGAGAACAAATGGACCCTCTAAAATATAGGAATGGCTAAGGTGTGCCAATGGTATGATTTTTTGTTGGTCAATCAGCAAGCATTTATTTAATGTTTCTTGAGGTTCCTACATTGTATTAAATATTGTGGGATATTCAAATTATTACATGACATAATCCCTTTCCTCCTGAAACTCTATAGATGTAGTTGTAGCAATAGGATCAACACACCAGAAACTTTACCAATTGGCTCTAAGTTATAGATTGCTGACTTAATATGTAATAGTTTTTGAGAAGCATGACAGGATGGGGAAGGAAGCACTGATGTGGGATCAGAAGCCTAGAGTTCTAATCTTCAGTGATGGTGAGTGTGTCATTTAGCCTCTCTGAGATTTCGGTTTCCTCACCTAGAAAATGGACGTCATAATTTCTGCTCTGCCTGCTTTGCAGGGCTATTGTGAAAACAAAACAAAGTAAGGTATCTGAAAGTACCATGAAGGCTTTAGGGCACTATACAAACTTAAGGGATTCTTGGTTAGGAGAGAAAGAAATCAAGAGGGGACTGAAGTGATTGCATTTGAAAGTATAATGGAGAGGCGAAGGCCTGAGGTTGAAGGTTAAGGAATGGGATGAAATGAACTAAAGAGACACAGGTTGGGGATGGAGAGGAGATGGGATGAAATGAACTAAAGAGACACAGGTTGGGGATGGAGAGGAGGTACCAACCTTATGAGGTACAGATGAAGAAACTGAGGTTTAGAGAGATTAAATAAATCAGCCAATGACAGAAAACTAGTAAGTGATCAAGCCAGGATATGAGTTCAGGATTGTCTAATCCCAGAGCTCTTACTCTTAAGCATTATGCTATACTGCTGGATAAAAAACAGAGACAAAAAAAAAAAAAAACCAAAACAAAACACCCTGATTTGTGTATGGCTCAGTGAAGAGATGAAATCAGCTATAACCAAGGGACATATTACAAATTATGGGAAAGAAGACTGATTAGGTTTCAGGGGACCCCTTTGTCGATTACTTGTATTGTACTTAGAACTTACTTTCAAAATTTAAATGCAATTTTAGAATTTATTTTCACAATTAAATAAATAAATATGGCAACTAGACTGTACCATAGAATATTACGTGAGTGGCCCAAAGTCATGCACCCACTAACAGTAAGGTTGGCATTGGAATTGAATCCCAAAATTTTCAGGCTGTTGATCTACTGTGCTGCAATCATGGCCTGGATAGATGGAGCCAGTGTTTTCTCTCACCAAGGACTACAAGTGCAGACAAGACATGCCAACTTCACCAGGCCTCTTTCCTTCTTCCCCTTCTTTCTTCTACCTACCTTCTTGGTCCCTAGCGTCAGTCACCCTCCCTGACCCATATGCTCATCCCTCTAAGCACACCCAAGTTGTGGGGCTGCATTGCCAAAGGGGCTGCCACTCATGCGAGGCTCATCTAATATGCCTGGTGACCAATAAATGTATAAAGTGCACCCTTCCTTTCTCAGTGTCATTATTCTACATGAATCTGAAGGGAAAGACTATAAAATTAAATTGTGAAAACCTGAATATATAAAGCTGTCTGAGCATATTTTTTAACGTTCCAGATAAAATGAATTCATTTATTTAATGTTCTGAACTATCAATTTGTATTCAAAATTATGGAAGAAATTTAATGTATTATAATCTGTAGAAGAACTTCACATTTTTATTTTCCGGAAGCCCATTTTGTTTTTAATTTTTGACTTTCAGAAAAGGGAACCACATTTTTTTTTACTAATCTAATTATCCCTTTGTATTACTAATTATTTATAATACCTTAGGGATTTTTTTCTTCTTTTCTAGCCTAAACCTGAGAAGAAAAGATATTTCCTCTTTGGAATGCTGTGTGGACTCTCCTTATTCAATTTAAATGTTGCTAACCTTCCTTTCCCACTGGCTCTGTATAAAAAACTTCTGGACCAAAAGCCATCATTGGAAGATTTAAAAGAACTCAGTCCTCGGTTGGGGAAGTAAGTAAATATAACGTTTTTTCAGGACCGTATCTAGTAAGTCTCAGTTGTTTAGGCATAAATAATCTTACACACAGAGAGACAGATATGGTCTTCAATTTCAATAATGTATGCTCTTGAGAGGAATTTGAATTTTAGCATGATTTATAATTGAGTAAACCTTCAAAATGGAGGAAAGCTGAGTGTTCCTCTAATTATTAACAAGTGGAAGAAACAGGAGTTCTGGCCTGGTCTCTTGACTTTATCCAGGTGGAAACAGTTGCTTCAGAGAGCACAATATATATGTGCATCATCACACATATAAATATTTATGACTATACAAGGGTGTGTGTGTTTGTGTGCATGTAAGTCTAATAAAAAAACTGAAAATATGCTCACCCTAACTAGTAATTGAGGGAATAAATAAAAATGAGATATCATTTTTCTACTTACAGATTGACACTTGTTAAAAAGTTTTTCTTACAGTGTTGGCAAAAAATTGGGGGAAAGGACTCTCTTCTCGTGTACTGTTAGTGTGAGAATATATTGGCTAGATGTGTGCTGGAGCAGGGGTTCTCAGCCTTGGCAATACTGACCTTTTGGCCTGTTTAATTCTTTGTTGTGGGAGACTGTCCTGGGCATTGTGGGATGTTTAGCAGCATTTGGGGTCACACCCACTGGATGCCAGTAGCAACCTTCCCTCCAAGTGTGACAACCAAAGATGTCTCCAGACTTTGCTGAATGACCCCTAGGGGACAAAGTCATCCCTGATTCAGAATCACTGTCTAGAGGAAACAGCTCATTTTTGTAATTTCCATGAAGATGTAGCAGTGTCTATGTAGTAACAATGGTCCAACAAATCAAACTGTAAATAGAGGCAAACTCTAGGGAAAGGGAATGAGAAGATGGAGGATAGGAAATTTATATTATATTTTATACATTTCTATATTGTTCACAACTTTTTCCATTGAAAATTACTTGTGAAACTTTATAAGATCAATAAATATAATTTTTAAAACCAAAATCTTCATTAGGAGTTTGCAAGAAGTTCTAGATGATGCTGCTGATGACATTGGAGATGCGCTCTGCATACGCTTTTCTGTGAGTACTAATGAAAGCCAAATTATAGTTTAGCTTTAATCTGTTTCTAAAAAATAATTTTTATTATAGTATCTTAAATTTGGGATCCCTTTTTTTTTTTATTGAGGCAGAGTCTCACTCTGTCACCCAGGTTGGAGTACAATGGCGCGATCTCGGTTCACTGCAGCCTCCGCCTCCTGGGTTCAAGTGATTCTCCTACCTCAGCCTCCTGAGTAGCTGGGATTATGGGCATGCGACACCATGCCTGGCTAATTTTTGTATTCTTTGTAGAGATGGGTTTTTGCTATCTTGGCCAGGCTGGTCTCTAACTCCTGGCCTCAAGTGATCCACCTGTCTCAGCCTCCCAAAGTGCTAGGATTACAGGGATAAGCCATTGTGCCTGGCCCCTGGGATCCCTTTTTTAAAAGACATTTTATTTCTGTACCGCAAGACTTTCCCCTTATCTTCTTCTCATGTCTATATACTCTCAAATAAAGTGAAGCTATGGTGATTATTCAACTAGTGTAAATAATTTAACAACTAAACGATAATTTAGGCATGAAAGTAATGTACAACATGTACTAGGGTAGGCTTTTTTGCTTTCACATGTATTTAAAAGGCTGAACTACATAAAAAATTATTTAGCTCCAAGTTATTTTCAGTTACATAGGGGAAAATGTATTGGCAATAAAGATATTATGGGTGGTTGATTATTCAAACTTACTTTGATATTTGGTACCTGAATACATTTTGGTTACAGATACACTGGGACCAAAATGATGTTGACTTAATTCCAAATGGGATCTCCATACCTGTGGACCAAACCAACAAGTAAGTTTTGACAGCTAGAATATCTGTTTTGAATATACTGTACATAAAATGTTGTATCACTATTCTTTTAAAATGTATTTTTAAATATGGTTCACACCTGTAATCCCAGCAATTTGGGAGGCTGAGGTGGGTGGATCACTTGAGGTCAGGAGTTCAAGGCCAACCTGGCCAACATGGCGAAACCCCGTCTCTACTACAAAAATTAGCCAGGTGTGGTGGCACATGCCTGTAGTCTCAGCTACTAAGGAGGCTGAGGATTGCTTGAACCCAGGAAGTGGAGGTTGCAGTGAGCCGGGATTGCGCAACTGCACTCAAGCCTGGGCAACAGAGTGAGACTGTGTCTCAAAAAAAAAAAAAAAAAAAAAAAGCATTTTAGCTTCTCAGGTGATTGTTTTAGCTCCTAATCTTTTAGAAAAAAGAAGCTTTTAAGATAAAAGAAAAGGAGAAAGAATTCAGGGTTCAATATTTCCTTTGTAGCTCTTTTTACTATTTATTCATTTAGCAAATATTTTTGAGCCCCTATTCTGTACCAGACTCTATTCTAGGTGCTGGAGATACAGTAGTCAAAAAGACAGACAAAATTTGGAGCTTAAATTCCAGTGGGGCAGAAAGACAATACACAAATGAATCATTATTATTTTTAATAGAGATGGAGTCTTGCCATGCTGCCCAGGCTGGTCTCGAATTCCTGAGCTCAGGCAGTCCTCACACCTCAGCCTCCCAAAGTACTGGGATTACAAGGGTGAGCCACCGCACCTGGCCACAAATGAATTATTATGTAATATAATGTCAGATAAGGATGAGCACTCTGAAGAAAATTAAAACTGATTAAGAAACTAGGGAGTTCCAGGTGGTGGTATGCTGGAGCTCACTAGTACCAGCTTGTGAGAGCTGATTGTTAAATTTTCAAAAATGTTAAGAGTTTATTATCAAAGTATTAGTAGCTGAAAATCAGCCACAGTGGGAATATTAACACCACAGAAATTCGCCAATGCTGCAAATGTGTGTCCCCTCCCCTCCCACTCCTTTTCAGAGAGCTGGTTGTTAGATATTTACCAGCACACCAATGGTTACAGGGGAAGGCAGACAAGAGTTGATTTAGATAGGCTAGTCCACAAAGGCTGCCCAAAGTGTGGGAGACAATCATGTCTCTGATGGAAATGCCTCCAGTAGCAACCCTGCCATCAGGAAATTAATCATTTAGTAGAAATTACATCCTGTAGTATAAGACAGACCTTGCAGGAATAATTTTCACAAAGTGACATGTGTTGTGAGAGGGGACAAGCAAAGGAACAAAAGGATCAACCCTGAGAAAGTCTTACTTATATTGAAATCTAATGGATGGTAGAAGTTATCAGGTAAAGAAGAAATGCTGCATTCTGTGGCCTAACTACAAAAGAGAGACAAGACCTATGAACGGGGCCAGAAGTGAAAATGGAAGTGGGAGCTGGGCACCATGGTGCATACTTGCAGTCTCACCTACTCAGGAGGCTGTGGCGGGAGGTTCGCTTGAGGCCAGGAGTCCAAGTCCAGCCTGGGCAACACAGGGAGACCCCATCTCTTAAAAAAAAGAAAGAAAAAGAAAGGAAAGAGAAAGAAAGAAGAAAGAAAGAAAAGGGAAGGGAAAGGGAAAGGGAAGGGAAGGGAAAGGAAAGAAAGAAAGAAAGAAAATGGAAGTGGGAAGAGGCCCCTTGCTGAGACTGGCAAGGTCAGATAATTGAGGGAGGAGCTAGGCTTGGGAAGGCCTGTTGATCCCTGCTAAGGAGGTTTGGAATTTACCCCAAGGGCAATGGGAAGCCTTTGAAAGACTTTAAGCAAGAGAATGACATATTCAGATTCATGTTTTAAAAAAATCCTCCTGACTGCAGTGAGGAAAGTGAGCCAAATAGTTTTAAACCTTCTGATTATATTTTCTAAATTTCTTTCTTCTAGCTGACCAGGTTTTGGTCACAATACAACATTCTTGTGCTATATAGAAGTAATTTACTTTTCCTTCTCAATAGAAATAGTAAAAAGAACAAAGTATAAAATCTTTTAATCATTGGCCTTTTCCTTCCTTTCTTTTTTTTTTTTTTTTTTTGCTTCCCTCAAGGAGAGACTATGTTTCTAAGTATATTGATTACATTTTCAACGTCTCTGTAAAAGCAGTTTATGAGGAATTTCAGAGAGGATTTTATAGAGTCTGTGAGAAGGAGATACTTAGACATTTCTACCCTGAAGAACTAATGACAGCAATCATTGGAAATACTGATTATGACTGGAAACAGTTTGAACAGGTAGGTGATACCTAAAGTGCCCCAATTTTTCCGAACAACTTCTATATATTCCACCCCACTCAAATCATTTTTCTCCCTCTTTCTCTCAAGAATTCAAAGTATGAGCAAGGATACCAAAAATCACATCCTACTATACAGTTGTTTTGGAAGGCTTTCCACAAACTAACCTTGGATGAAAAGAAAAAATTCCTCTGTAAGTACTGTGGTACTAGATGGACACATAATTATGTATCTTTTAAAAAGGTACAGTCTTGTTTAGAATGAAGCCATTGAAGTGGCCTCATTGTCTGGGGTGACACCCAAGGTTCTTTGTCTCACAGCCATGGAGATCAAGGACATGGACACACACAAAGGGTGAGGTATAGAGCAGAAACTTAATAGGCGAAAAGAGAATAGCTCTCTGCTACAGAGAGGGGTCCCAGAAAAATGAGTTGCTGATCTGTGGTGAAATGCAGGGTTTTTTATAGATGAGCTAGTGAGGAGGTGGTGTCTGATCTACATAGGGCATGAAAAACGAGTTAGGACCAGGTGTACCATCCGCATAGGGCACGAATCTCTGGCAGCCCCTACCCCAATCTTTGATTATACAGGTGGGTAGCTACTCCATGGTGCTTCTTTCTTACTGTGCATGTGCTAAAAAAGGGGGGAGGTGGAACCCCCATGGTGGACATGCCTGGTCCCAGGTTGCCCTTTCTATTGGTGGAGCTGCTGGCATTCCCCCGTGCTAGCTTCCAGCCTTCTTATCTATGTTTGCAGCCCGATATTCCAGGCTGCTCTTTGTTAGAAAAGAAGTGATTTCTTGGACTGCTTTTTGTTAGAAGGGAAGTTCTGCTGAGGACTCTTTTGCCCTCACTATCTGCCTAAAATAATTTTCTATCTCTGTATCACCATTCTTGCAGGTGGGTCACATGTGTTAGTGGCAGAGCAAGGATGAGAACCCAGGCTCCCTACCTTCTAGACCAGCATTCTTTCTCTTACTCAAGCCTGTTTCTTTTTTTTTTTAAGTAGAGATTTGCTAATTTACTACTTTTTCTACACTGACTTTTTCTGCACCCTCTTTCCTCACTTCAGCTGGCTCCTAAGCCTTTTATCTCATGTTCCTATCTTCATCTAATTATCTAAGTCCTATGATGTTCGAATGATGCCAACTATCTGTTTTATAGTAATATATCATTTAGAAATAATAATGGCAACAACAACTGATGATAATAATAGCAGCAGCAGCATTTACTGTGTGCTTATTCTGTGCCATGCACTATGCTGACTGCTTTGTATCTATTACCTACCTTTTTCCTAACAGCAACCCTACGAGGTAGGTACTATTCTTTTTTCCCCGTTTCAGACATGAGGAAAAAGAGGCTTGGAGCATTTAGTAGCTTGCCCATGTTCAGACAGCTGGTAAGTATGGGAACCAGAATAGAATCCATCAGGCTGACTCCAAAGCCCAGGCTCTTGAGCACTAAGCTCTGTAGCCTCATGGTATAAGAACTTCTCTTGGTGGGAACCCTAAGGTTTCTCTAGGGCAGACTTAATGACTTCTCTCACCATCTCATCCCATTTGTCAGCTCTTCCTGAGTTACACATCTTTCTTCTTGATATTTTTGTTGCTACTAAGGATGCTGGAGGACAATTCCAACTTGTCCACAGATCCAACCTATTTCTCTATAAGCCCAAGCTGCCTTTCTAATCTTCTCTCTTAATGGGAAACTTTTGATTCAGCCCAGTGGTTCAGCTGTCTGTACACCCCATGAGTTCACTTCTTCCCACCTGTGGCTTTTTCCTGAGCTTTGTCCCCTGCCTTGAAAGCTCAGCCAAATCCTGTCTTGAGAAATAGCCTGGTGTGACCTCTGTGAAGTCTCTCTGACCACTCAGCCTGGTGTTTCTCTCCCTGCTGAATCCTTTAAGCTCCTAACCTCATTCTTCCTAGATGAGCTAAATAAACTTCCTTCTTGCTACTATCTTTTCATGCATATAATTTTCCCCCAACTACACCATGAACTCATTGAGGACAAAGACCAAATGTCATGATTTTTATACATTCAACATGGTCTAGGACAGTTCTCTCTGCCTAAGGACATTCAATAAATACTTACTGAATGAAGTGATTAATTTCTTCCTTTTCATTATGTTTTACTCTTTCTATGAAATATCTTAACCAAATTTTATTCCTTTCTAGTTTTCCTTACAGGACGTGATAGGCTGCATGCAAGAGGCATACAGAAAATGGAAATAGTATTTCGCTGTCCTGAAACTTTCAGTGAAAGAGATCACCCAACATCAATAACTTGTCATAATATTCTCTCCCTCCCTAAGTATTCTACAATGGAAAGAATGGAGGAAGCACTTCAAGTAGCCATCAACAACAACAGAGGATTTGTCTCACCCATGCTCACACAGTCATAATCACCTCTGAGAGACTCAGGGTGGGCTTTCTCACACTTGGATCCTTCTGTTCTTCCTTACACCTAAATAATACAAGAGATTAATGAATAGTGGTTAGAAGTAGTTGAGGGAGAGATTGGGGGAATGGGGAGATGATGATGATGGTCAAAGGGTGCAAAATCTCACACAAGACTGAGGCAGGAGAATAGGGTACAGAGATAGGGATCTAAGGATGACTTGGACACACTCCCTGGCACTGAAGAGTCTGAACACTGGCCTGTGATTGGTCCATTCCAGGACCTTCATTTGCATAAGGTATCAAACCACATCAGCCTCTGATTGGCCATGGGCCAGACCTGCACTCTGGCCAATGATTGGTTCATTCCAGGACATTCATTTGCATAAGGAGTCAAACCACACCAGTCTTGGATTGGCTGTGAGCCAATTCACCTCAGTCTCTAATTGGCTGTGAGTCAGTCTTTCATTTACATAGGGTGTAACCATCAAGAAACCTCTACAGGGTACTTAAGCCCCAGAAGATTTTGCTACCAGGGCTCTTGAGCCACTTGCTCTAGCCCACTCCCACCCTGTGGAATGTACTTTCACTTTTGCTGCTTCACTGCCTTGTGCTCCAATAAATCCACTCCTTCACCACCCATTCATGCATGTCGCTCAATTCTTTGTTCAACACACCAAGAACCTGCACACCTCATTATCAGAACCCTTAACCTAGTAACATATTTTGGCAAGCCAGTCAGGAGGTAAGCCTAAATTTGGGGATTTATTTTCTTTTATTCTATTGAGATTCCATTTGTGGCCATGGGCTGGAACTAAACTCCACATGGGACTCTCTCTGTCTCTCCCCTTCTCTTTCTTTCCCTTTTCCAACTTGGGACCCTTGGCAGGCAGCATTCTAAGCACAGAGACAACTGCAGGTCTCTTGCTAGGGCCACTGTCTGGTGAGACTGAAAGGTTTCCGTGTGTAAGCACCTAACCATCATCGCCTGCTTCAGGTGGGGTCCTGAGTCCTTTTCTTTTTAGTCCTTCAGCAGCCATTTCCCAGTAGCTCGTTGGTAATTGAGGGCAACTGGCCCAGGCCACTCTCCAGTGTTGCCTGAAAGCCAAAGAGTGAGTGGGGTTAGCTGCCCGGCCTGGAAGTGGGATTCTTTTCTATCTTTCCTGGTTATAGTTCCTGAGCCCTACATGTGATGCAACTGGCAGTGGCGGCTTGTCCAGGGTGAATACATAAACATTTCAGGTGCCTTTAACCCTCCTTTTCTTATGCTAAAATTCCCTCGTAGAGTCAGCCTGTCAGGGAATGCAACAAATAGGGGCACAAGATAAATCCCTACCGCCATGAGGTGCATGTTTTTGTGACTATAATATTATATTTATTTGCTGCTTGTGTTGGGATAACATGTTTAGACCAATTAGAGATGTACCCCAAACCCAAAGGGCCAGGGCAATAGGTAACTGACTATGGAGGCTCCAACAGCAAACATTAGCCTAAAGGTTAGGGACCAACCACTTGGATAGGGAAAGTGCTGTGCTTCTTTTGTAAGGGACCACTTCTAGATCATTTGAGTTTAGTAGATCTGGTACTAAGAGAAGAATCCTGGTGGAGACTCTTGGATCACTGTATAAATTGCACAGTGGATCCATGGGGTAATCTCTGCTCCTGGTTTATCTGGTACAGTCAGAGAGCACCATGCTCCCTTATTGAGAGGCCAGTCTCCAACAAGTTTAAATTAGGCAGTCTGCCATCCCTTGCCCTTCAAACTGTACTTACAACAATGGTTAAGGAAACCATTTGGGAAGAAACTATTGTGGCCAGCTACAAGGATGCCAAAAGCCAAGAACCATATCCAAGAACGAAGGGAATCATACTAGGCCATTGTCTATGAAGGGAAAGCATTCAAAGCAGCACTGGTGCCCACCTAAGGTCAGAGATGTCTGACACTCTAAGATTGGACCCCAAAGGGGGACTCCTTGGGAGATCCAATCCTAGGCCACAACCTCTCTGAAGGGGAAGACCCTAGATGGAGGTTCTGAGGTCTAGTATTAAACCCTCCTCAGAACTTTTTCTCTCTTACAAACAACAATAGGAAATACTCCATCCATACCACCTGACTCCCCACTCAGCTGCATCCTCAATAATTGGAACCAATTTAACCCTGACAATATAGTAGGGAAACATTTGTTTTTTTTACTGTAATACTGTTTGGCCCCAGTATCCTCTAGATAGCCAGGAGCAATGGCTAGTCAATAGGAGTCTCAGTCATGACACTATCCTGCAATTAGACTTATTTTGTAAAAGGCAGGGTAAATGGTCAGAAATACCATGTTTAAGCCTTTATGGCCCTGCACCAAAACCCTTCAATTTGTAAGGCTTCCAAATTTTGCCCTCAAAGAGAAAAAATTCCTAAAGTAGAACCAGATGTTATAGATGACCCCTTTCTGCAAGGGCCACTGTTTCTTAGGGGGAACTGTAACCACCTCCATACAACCCCTTGCCAAGTGCTCCTGAGGATCAAACCCAGGAACAGGAGCCGGAAACTCCACTAAGTTCCCCCACACACTTCCAGGGGAACACCTTATTCAATTCCCTGTCCAGCTCTATTTCCCCCAAGGGAAGTAGCAGGAGTTGAGGGGCTAATCTAAGTGGAGGCCCCCTTCTCCATAACTGATATACAGCAATGAAAGGATAAGTTAGGAATTTATTCTGAGAACCCCAGGAGATTTGCAGACGGCTTCCAAACTTTAACCTTAGCCTTCGATCTCTCACAGAAAGATGTTCAATGTATCCTGGCAACTTGTTGCACTCCTCTGGAGAAAGAATGTATTTCTGAGGCCGCCCAACGTGAAGCAAACAAGCTGTTTGCCGGAAACTCCGAGGGCAATTGCCTGGGCCCAGATACAGTCCCCATCACTGACTGTAACTGGAACTATAACACCCCTATGGGAATGAACAACCCAGCCAAATTCCTTGAAGCTCACCTGGGAGGAATGAGAAAGGAAATGACTAAGGCAGTAAATTAAGGGAAATTACACAGGTTAAGGAGGAAAGCTATATTTTATAGTGGATTGGAAAAGGCTTTTAAAAAATACACCAACCTGGACCCTCCCCCTCCTGAAGGCAAAGTACTAATGGCACAGGATTTCATTAGCCAAGCTGCCCTGGACATTAGGCATAAAATCCAGAAGCTACACATGGGACCACAAACTAATCAAAATCAGCTTATTGATACCACCTGCATGGTATATAACAAACGTGATCTGGAGGAAGTGGAAAGGGAATACACTAAAGAAAAACAGCCAAAATTATGGCAACTGTCACTGGTGATGCCCTAAATGCCCAAAAGTCATCCAAGGAAAACCCAAAGGGTCCCAAGGACAATGCCGGCAAAAGCTCTGGTTACAAGTGCAAGAAAAGTGGGCACTAGGCAAAGTACTGCACTAAGCCCACGCAGGGCCTGTGCTGCCAATGTGAGGGCACCAGTCGTGACCTCTGGCACTGGATAATTGACTGCCCCTGCTCCCACCAAGGGGCTCCATCAGTCAAAACTCTAGCAGCACATAAGGAGGGATCAGATGAAGACTCATGGGACCCAGGGACATCATCACTACCACTTAGGATCCCTGGGTAACTCTGGATGTCATGGGCACCAAAATTAATTCACAGGCCAAGCAGCAGCTTCACTTGGAATGGCTGAATTCTATAGGATACAAATCCCAAATTTCGGGCACATAGCAAAGCCCCTTTACAAGGCAACAAGGGGACCTTAAGATGAGCCAATGGAATGAACCCTAGAAATGAGGGAGACTTTCACCAAGTTAAAACGGGCTCTCAGCCAGGCTCGTGCACTCAGCATTCCAAACCTCACCAAGCCCTTCCTGTATGTAGCAGAAAAGAAAGGCATAGCTGTGGGAGTGCTTACTCAGAAGTTGAGAACAGAGCCTAGGCCCATTGCATACTTTTCTTTTTTTTGAGATGGAGTCTTGTTCTGTCTCCCAGGCTGGAGTACACTGGCACAATCTTGGTTCACTGCAACCTCCAGCTCCTGGATTCAAGTCATTCTCCTGCCTCAGACTCCCAACTAGCTGGGATTACAGGTGCCTGTCACCACCATGCCCCAGCAGATTTTTGTATTTTAATAGAGACCGGGTTTCACCATGTTGGCCAGGGTGGTCTTGAATTCCTGATCTCAAGCAATCCACCCACCTTGGCCTCCCAAAATGTTGGAATTACAGGCGTGCGTTACTGTGCCCAGTTGTTGCATACTTTTCAAAGAAATAAGACAGTAGCCACCAGGTGGCCCAGCTGCCTGCAGGCAATAGCAGCCACTGCTATTTTGGTTGAAGAAGCTATTAAAATTACTATAGGCTGGCCAGGTGTGGTGGCTCATGCCTGTAATCCCACCACTTTGGGAGGCCAAGGTGGGCGGATCACCTGAGGTCGGGAGTTGGAGACCAGCCTGACCAACATGGAGAAACCCTGTCTCTACTAAAAATACAAAATTAGCCGGGGGTGCTGGCACATGCCTGTAATACCAGCTACTTGGGAGGATGAGGCAGGAGAATTGCTTGAACCCGGGAGGCGGAGGTTATGGTGAGCCCAGATCGCACCATTGCACTCCAGCCTGGGCAACAAGAGCAAAACTCCGCCTCAAAAATAAACAAATAAATAAATAAACAAAAATTACTCTAGACCAGCCACAACTCCCCACCAGTCCTAGAAATAAAAGGACATATCTGGATGACAGGAGAAAGATTAAATACGAGGTGGCACTCCTAGATAATCCAGAGATCACAATTAAGACCTGTAACACCTTAAACCCAGCTCTATTAGTCTGTTCTCATGCTGCTAGTAAAGACATACCTGAGACTGGGTAATTTATAAAGGAAAGAGGTTTAACTGACTCACAGTTCCACATGACTGGGGAGGCCTCACAATCATGGCTAGTGGAAGGCAAAGGAGAAGCAAAGTAATGTCTTACATGGCAGCAGGCAAGACAGTGTGTGCTGGGGAACTCTCCTTTATAAAACCATCAGATCTAGTGAGACTGATTCACTATCATGAGAACAGCACGGGAAAGACCCACCCCCATGATTCAATTACCTCCCACTGGGTTGTGGCAGGCCAATTCTCCCTGACAATCACACAGACAGGCCTGTATAGCACTCCAGTTACACTGACAGATTTCCACAGCACTGCCTTAACATTTAGCAAATAGTTAAGCCTAGGGAAACTGGTGCCCAGACATCAAAGCTAGAAATGAAACATATGTCATATGGTCAGTAGGTTTCTCCCTAACCCGGAGCAAGTCAAAATAATAGAGACAGTCTTACATTCCTAGTGCTAGGACCCATCTCGGGTTGACGGAATCTGAGACAGTTCAAGGTAATGGTGGCAGCTGTGTGAATAGATTCATTAGAGAGTCTAAGGCAGCTCTCTGGACCAAGCTGCAAAGGAGATAAGATAGAAATAATCACTCTGGTACCACAGTAGACAGGCCTTGAAGGTTCTGGGGCCCTTTTAATCAAACTTAGCAAGCATTTTTTGCTTCTGTCCTTCTAGTTGAAACAAAATTAGCTACAAATAGACTTAGGTGAATGCTATACTGCACGTAGGCACATAACCCCAACCTATACATGCACTAAGAAAATTGTAACACTTTGGGTTGGTCTGGTGGAATTATCTCTGGCCTTCTCCCTGTATCCAGTTATATCAATAAATTCCATTCTTTCCTAGTTTGTCTGCTTCTCCTTATTGGGCCTTGAGAAAACGCAGCCAGACCCAGCTTGGTTCTGGGAACAGGGTCCCTCCCATGACACATGGAAATTATGGGAGCTACAGTTCAAGATGAGATATGGGTGGGGACACAGCCAAACCATATCATCAGCTGCACTGCTACCTATGGGCACCATAACCAATCATTCCTGTGAGCAAATCATTGTACACAGATATGGGAGCCAGCCTCTTTTATCTTTTAGAACAGCCTCTTCCAGACCCTGTGGATAACTGGTTTATAGACGGCAGCAGCTTTGTGCTAAACAGGGAGCACCAAGCTGGATATGCAATAGTGAATTACACCATTTTTGAAGTCCAGCTACTGCCCCCAGGCACATTGACACAAAGGCTGAGATCATTGTTCTTACTCAAGCATTAAGGTTGGGACAAGAGGCTGGCGCAGTGGCTCACGCCTGCAATCCCAGCACTTTGGGAGGCCGAGGCAAGTGGATCACCTGAGGTCAGGAGTTCAAGACCAGCCTGACCAATATGGTGAAACCCCGTCTCTACTAGAAATACAAAAATTAGCCGGGCATGGTGGTGTGTGCCTGTAGTCCCAGCTACTTGGGAGGCTGAGGCAGGAGAATTGCTTGAACCTGGGAGGTGGAGGTTTCAGTGAGCTGAGATCGTACCACCACTGCACTCCAGCCTGGGCGACAGAGCAAAACTCTGTCTCAAAATAAATAAATAAATAAATAAAGGTTGGGACAAGGAAAGAAAGCTAACATCTATGCAGATTCTAAATATGCATTTCTTGTGGTTCATGCTAATGCTGCAATTTGGAAAGGAGACTACTTACTAGCAAGCACTCCCCCATAAAACATGGGATTCTTCAGCTATTGCAGACAACATTTGCCAGAGGCCATAGCCATTATTCATTGCAAAGGGCAACAAAAGAATCTAACTCCTATAGCACAAGGGAACAAAAAGGAATCCAAGGCAGCAGCCCTCAAGGTACAGTCTCAACAAGTTTTAGCACTACTCCTTTTTTATGACCCCCCAATAGAACCTGAGTACACCTCACAGGAAGAACATCTAATAAGACAACAAGGAGGAATGAAACAGGGATCTTGGTGGTATAAGGGATCAAAAATAAATCTTCCCCAAGCAGCCCAATGGAAAATCATAAAAGCCCTGCATAACTCTTTCCATGTGGGAAGAGACACAACTTTGGCCATGGCAAACAAGCTCTTCACTGGATCCAACCTAGCTTCCATGGCCAAACAGGTCTGTCAAGCCTGCTCACTGTGTGCATTAAACAACCCAGGAAACAAAGTGCCTCCTTTAACAGAGCCAATCCAAAGAGGGAGAACTTACCCAGGGTAAGACTGGCAATTGGACTTTACCCATATGCCAGCCTGTAAAGGATTCAAGTTTTTACTAGTACTGATAGAAACCTTTATTAGCTGGGTTGAAGCTTACCCTTCCAGAACAGAAAAGGCCAATGAAGTAGTGAAAATTCTCTTAAAAGAAATAATCTGGCTAGGGACGATGTCTCACACCTGTAATCCCAATACCTTGGAAAGCTGAGGCAGGCAGATCACTGAGCCAGAAGTTCAAGCCCAGCCTGGGCAACATGGCGAAACCCTGTCTCTACGAAAAAAAAAAAAAAAAATTATCTGGGCACGATGGTGCATGCCTGTAATCCCAGCTACTCAGGAGGCTGCGGCACAGGAATCATTTGAAACAAGGAGGTGGGGCTGCAGTGAGCCAAGCACACTGCACTCCAGCCTGGGCAACAGAGTGAGGCTCTGCCTCAAAAAAAAAAAAAAAAGAAAGAAAGAAAGAAAGAGAAATAATCCCTTGGTTTGGGCTACCCCAGAGCCTTCAAAATAACAGCTTATCTTTTGTCTCCCAAATAACTCAAGGGGTTGCTAAGGCCCTCAGGATCAAATTTACATTCAGCATGGAGGCCTCCATCCTCCAGGAAAGTAGAAAAGGCTAATCAAACTCTAAAATGGGCATTAGTTAAACTGTGCCAGGAGATGTCAGAGACTTGGGTTGACTTGCTCCCCACATCCCTCTTAAGGATCCGTAATTCCCCTCAAGCAAAAATTAATCTAAGCCCATATGAAATATTATATGCAAGGCCATCTTTAACTAATGATCTAATCACTGATCCAGAAACAACCAGTTTAGTAAAATACCTAATTAACCTGGGACAATTTCAGCAGGATTTACAAAAGTTTGGAACCCAGTGGTTCCCTGTACTGGGAACTAACCAGCAACCCAAAATTAGGCCAGGAGGTAAGGTACCGGTGAAAACATGGAAAGAGGAATCATCTGCTCAACAGCTACAACCCAAATGGAAGGAACCATTTTCAGTGGTGCTGGCCACACCTTCCATGGTCAAGGTACTAGGGTTAGATAATTGGATACATCTTTCCAGCATCAAGCCTGCCATACCAGAAGTTCCCGGACCCCGAACGTGGAACTCCCACCAGCCACTATACCTGTGAACCTGTGGAAGACCTGAAATACCTGTTTAAAAGAATGGCTAAAAGATAAGTAAAGGCCTACTAACTTTCCTTGGTGTCTTTTCTGTGTGTTCGTGGTAGTTGGGGTAATACTAGTTTTTCTTACATTATTAAACTGCCTTTTCCCAAGCAGGTAGGATCATTTCCTCTGCCCTAGTAGAATCCTATCCTGTAGGACTTAAAGGAAGCAAAATAACAAAAAGGTACATTCATACCCACAATGATTTGCTATAGGCCACACACACTGGGATCATGCATATTGGGAATTGGCTTAATTCTACAGCAGGGCCTTGATTTACCCTCTGACCATTAGGTGACCCTCAGTATTTACTAAGAACCTTGAATCTAACACAAAGACTGTTAAACACCACCAGCCAAGCCTTGTTTTTTTGTTTTTGTTTTTTGGGTATTTTTTAGTAGAGACAGGCTTTCACCATGTTGGCCAGGCTGGTCTTGAACTCCTGACCTCAAGTGATCTGCTCGCCTAGGCCTCCCAAAGTGCTGGGATTAGAGGCATGAGCCACTGTGCCTGGCTGCCAGCCTAGCCTTAGTAAAAACATTGTTGGCTTTGCTTATCCCCATACTCCTCCAGGTACACTGCTATCCCAGTCCCAGCACGATATTGGGCCCTTGAAAAAATGACTTATCACCCTGCCTACAAAGGAGGAACTCTCTTCAAACTAATAAACTTAGATGACTTATACAACCAAATTACAGACATGACAAAGGTTACAATGACAGGACGAGCAGTAAACCTCCTGCAGTCCTATCAGAGCAACCTCTCTAGGGTTACATCCTCAGAAAAGCCCATCTAGGGCCCAATATCAACACACACAGAGCTAGAATTCCAGGTACACTCTGTGTCAAAAGGAGCCAAAAGTCCAGTCAGGTCCTGGGGACCTTGAAGAGTAATCAGTGCAACTACACTCTGGAGATTAATCCCTCACACAATCATGTAAATTACACAACTACCCAAACTACATGATTTAGAAAACCTGTATGGTTTTCACGGAAACCATTCCTAGTTAAGGGCATCTTAAAACATATTCGGTCTAAGTACTGTTAAGGGAAGCCCCCTAGCTGTGTCCACACTTTTCCTTGGGAAGACTGCATTAGCCCTGAAATTCACCTCTAGCTGTCTTTTGGTTCTCCATTATGAAAATACTCCCAGGTGGTTGTTGGTGGACGCCAAGAGCAGCTACCTCCACTGGGAAAATAAAACCACTGGGGCAACCCAACTTTGCAAGGCCCCTTCCCGTCGTCAACAGGGGCCACCTTAGCAGGGACCTTAACTACTTGGGAAAGCAAAAATAACAAACTAACCCATATGTTCACCATAGAAAACAATTTCTGTCTTGAAAAACGGGGAGCATTTTTCCTGTGCAGGACCAGCTCCTACTTACGTTTACCTGCCAATTGGACTGGAACTTGTATACTTGTTTATTTAGCCCCTGAAATTAATATAGCTCCCGATAACCAATCTCTCACTGTATCTTTGACTGCAACCACCAGACACAAGCAAGCCATCCAACTCATACCCCTTTTAGTAGAGCTGGGAGTAACAGCAGGAATAGGAACAGGAGTTAACGGGCTGGCAACTTCCCTATCCTACTACCAGGGCTTGTCCATTGATTTCATGGAAATCTTGGATGACATTGCTCAAAGTATTGTCATCAGACAAAATCAAATAGGCTCCCTGGCAGTGGTCACTTTGCAAAATAGAAGGGGACTAGACCTCATAACCACTGAGAAGGGAGGCTTATGTCTTTTCCTAGAGGAAGAATGCTGTTTCTATGTCAACCAATCAGGAATAGTAAGGGATGCCACCTGAAAACTAGCTGACCAGGCCGCTAAGATACAACAGCTGTCGGAATCATGGGGCTCCTGGTCAAGGTGCTGGGCTGGGTGTCATGGTTCCATCCCCTAGCCAGACCGTTGCTAATGGTTATACTGGCCCTGGTCTTTGGCCCATGTTTGCTAAACCTTTTAACCAAGTTCATTTTCTCTTGCCTAGAAACCATTTAGCTTCAGATGATTGTGCGACAAGGTTTCCAGCCAGTGCCAGGTAAAGGCACCACCTCTGGCCGTCAAAAGGTTACTCTGTCTCCACAAGACAAAGCAGGGCGAGAGTTCTGTGGTCCCCAGCAGGTAAGGCCAGCGTGCTAAATCAGCAGGAAGCAGTTACAAAAGAAAAGACCATCAGTCCCTCTGCCTCCCATAAAGATTTCTAGGGATCATGTCTCTCAGGGGGAAAATGAGGCAGGAGAATAGGATCCAGAGATAGGGAATCTAAGGATAACTTGGACAGACTCCCTGGAGCTGAAGAGTCTGCACACTGACCTATGATTGGTCCATTCCAGGACCTTCATTTGCATAAGGTGCCAAACCACATCAGGCTCTGATTGGCCACAGGCCGGTACCTGCACTCTGGCCAGTGATTGGTCTATTCCAGGCCCTTCATTTGCATAAGGCACCAAAACACACCAGTCTTGGATTGGCCATGGGCCAATTCACCTTGGCGTGGAATTGGTCACAAGCCAGTCCTTCATTTACATAGGATGTAACCCACAAGAAACCTCTAAAGGGTACTGAAGCCCCAGAAGACTTTGCTACCAGGGCTCTTGAATCACTTGCTTGAGCCCGCTCCCACCCTGTGGAATGTACTTTTGCCTTTGATCCTTCACTGTCTTCCACTTTCTTTTTTTTTTGAGAGGGAGTCTGGCTCTGTTGCCCAGGTTGGAGTGCCGTGGCGCGATCTCGGCTCACTGAAAGCTCCGCCTCCTGGGTTCACGCCATTCTCCTGCCTCAGCCTCCCAAGTAGCTGGGACTACAGGCGCCCGCCACCACACCCAGCTAATTTTTTTGTATTTTTAGTAGAGACGGGGTTTCACCGCGTTAGCCAGGATGGTCTCGATGTCCTGACCTCGTGATCCGCCCGTCTCGGCCTCCCAAAGTGCTGGGATTACAGGTGTGAGCCACTGCGCCCGGCCCACTATCTTCCACTTTCATAAATTCACTCCTTCACCGCTTGTTCATGTGTGTTGTTCAATTCTTTGTTCAATGTGCCAAGACCTGGACACCTCACCATCAGAACACTTAACCCAGAAACGAGATGAATGTGTTCATTCTTTTTTTTTTGAGTTCGATTGCACAGTGTGGTAAATATAATTAACAATACAGTATTGCACTTTTCAAAATACCGAAGAGATAAAATTTCAAATGTTTTCACCACAAAAATTGTTAAGTATTTGAGGTGATGGATGTGGGAACTAGCTTGATTTAATTATTCCACATTGTTATTCATAAATTATAAGATCACTTTGTTCCCCATAAATGTATACAATTATAAATTGCCAATTTACAATTTAAAAAAAGAGAATTAGTTGAAAAATGTTTGGATAAATAATAAAGTGATGAATCAAGAATAATTTTTTTTTAAGAGACGAGGTCTCACTATGTTGCCCAGGCTGGTCTTGAAATCCTGGGCTTAAGAAATTCTCCTGCCTTGCCTCCCAAGTGCTGGGATTACAGGTGTGAGCCAAGAATAATATTTTTAATAAAACAATGTTATGTAAAGCAACATTTCCTATATCCCTAACCTTGCTAGATATATATTTTATATTCAGGAATATCTCTAGAGTTTTTATTTTAGCAAAGTGCTGAATAATTTATTTGAAAAATCTGAATGTTAAGGGATTCATTAATTCATTGAATAATTACTTATAGTAGGTACTGTGTGGCAAGTACCATTCTAAAGGCACTAGCACTGGCAGGCCATCGACCAGCAGAACAATGCGGAGTTTGGCCAGGGCAGTCGGAGGACAGCCTGGGCCGCTGAGCGGCTCAACTCCAGGGGAAAACCAACTCCCTTCTGGCTCCCCCATCTGCTGAGAGCTACTTCCACTCAATAAAACCGTGCACTCATTCTCTAAGCCCACATGTGATACAATTCTTCTGGTACACCAAGGCAAGAACCTGGGATACAGAAAGTCTTCTGTCCTTGTGACAAGGTAGAGGGTCTAATTGAGCTGGTTAACACAAGTGCCTATAGACAGCAAAACTAAAAAAGCACACAGTAGCACAGCCCACTGGTGCTTCAGGAGCAGTAAACATCCACCCCTAGACACTGGCGTGGGGTTGGAGCCCCAAAACCTGCCTGTCTGTATGCTCCCCTAGAGGTGTGAGCAGTGGGGCACTGAAGAAGCGACCCACTCCCACTGCCGCATGCCCTACGAAGGGGACAAGGGAACCTTTCCCGTTTCATTGTTAGAGGTCAAAGCTTTTTCCATGGCACATGCCCAGTCTACATAACTTGCAGTTTTGGCTCTGTTATACCTACAGGGTAACTGGCCATTTTGTTATCAACAGAGTAGGGCCAGTTTGGGCTGGCTCTGAGGTTATAATATACGGCCAGCTGAGTTTTGACAGGGATGCCAAGGCAATTCCATGGGGATAGGCAAGCTGGAACGACTGGAAATCCATAAGGAAAAAAAAGAACCTTTATTCTTACCTCATACTGATGCAGGAATTTTTGCTCCTTAGCTCAGCTAAAATCCAGGTTCTTGTCTCATGACCAGGAACAATTAGGCATGTGAATACATTGCAAGGTGAAGAGTGGCATTTATTAAAAGCTCTTAGCAAAAAAACAAGGAGGGTCCTGCCAACAGGCTCCCAGCTCACAGACTGAATAACAGGCCAACACACACAAGCTGAAGACTTCTTGCTCATCCCTGCTGCATAAGGCTGAATTCCCTCTGGCTGCACCCCACTCTCCTGGTGCAGTGGGCCCCCAAGTCCCTTGTGGGCATGCCCAGACAAGACCCTGGGCAGGCTTCCTCAGCTGCACAAAAGCTTGTGAGGCAGGTCAGAGATTCTCCAGGGACCCTCCCTTATCTGCCTCCAGCATCTATCGATACTATAAAGAATAATTCATTTTAAATATAATGAAGACCAACAATTATAAAACTTCCAGAAGGTAACAAATGAGGAAATCTTATAATCTTGAATTTAGCAAAAATGTCTTAAGTAGGACAAAAAAGGTATGAACTATGTAAAAGAAAAAAATGGATAAATTACATCAAAATTGAAAACTTCAGTGCTTCAAAAGACACTTAAAATGAAGAGGCAAGCCACAGACAGGTAGAAAACATTTCAAAACGTATAGCTAATAAAGAACATGGTATGAAACATATAAAGAACTCAATAATATATAAAGAACTCTTAGATAAAAAGTCAAGCTAGCTAATAAATAAATGGTCAAAAGATTTGAATACACACTTCACAAAGAAGAGATCCTCCTGCCTTGGGCTAAAAAAGGGCTGGGGTTACAGGCAGGAGCCCAGGCCCAGCCTTGTCAGTTGATTTTCGGTGACCCTTCAGAGGGCAAAGGGGAAGTTTTCTCCTGTTCCCTACAACCGACAGGCCCATCAATTGGTGAATGGATAAATAAACTGTGGCTTACCCATATGATAGACTACCATTCAACAATAACACAAATGAATTACTAATTAAACACAATAGTATGAATCTCAAAGCATTGTGCTAAGTTAAAAAAGCCAGACATCACTTAGATATGGTTCCGTTTGTATGCATTCTAAAAAAGGCCTAAAGCACATCACTGTTGCCAGGCACCCGGGAATACGGGAATACGTAGCGGAGCGGGCACGAGGGGGGTGGGGGTGGGGGTAGGGGTGGGGGGGAGGGTAGCTGCCTGCATAGCTCTGCCCAGTTTTATGCCGGTTTCAGCCCGGCGCACAACGCATTTTTTTTTTTGATACATAGTCTCGCTCTGTCGCCCAGGCTGGAGTGCAGTGGCGCAATCTCGGCTCACTGCAAACTCCGCCTCCCGGGTTCCCGCCATTCTCCCACCTCAGCCTCCCGAGTAGCTGGGACTACAGGCGCCCGCCACCACGCCCAGCTAATTTTGTTTTTGTATTTTTAGTAGAGACGGGGTTTCACCGTGTTAGCCAGAATGGTCTCGATCTCCTGACGTCGTGATCCGCCCGCCTCGGCCCCCCAAAGTGCTGGGATTACAGGCGTGAATCACCGCGCCCGGCCGCGGCGCACAACGCTTAACAAACTTTGGCTTCCGTTATCCCTCCCTCTGGAAATGCGTGTGTCAGGGTGCCTCCTAGTGGAACTGCAGCGTTTCCTCGAAAGCCATTCCGTCCAGGAGTTAAGGTGGCCGCTGCCCGCCCGGGGACACTTTCTCAGTCCAGCCCATCGGCCTTTACCCCAGCCAACGACCTGTTGCCTTTGGCCGCCTGCCAAGTCACTCTCATTACAGTTTCCTTTTCCTTTTCGATTCCGCCCCCTAAAAACAACAACAAACATTATGTTTCGTTTTCCACTGGAGCTGCAGGCCCCGCCCCCAAACAGCACGTGGGGGGCGTGGCGTCCCGGCAGGGGCTCAGTAGCTGAGGCTGCGGTTCCCCGACGCCACGCAGCTGCGCGCAGCTGGTTCCCGCTCTGCAGCGCAACGCCTGAGGCAGTGGGCGCGCTCAGTCCCGGGACCAGGCGTTCTCTCCTCTCGCCTCTGGGCCTGGGACCCCGCAAAGCGGCGATGGAGCGGAGGTCGCGGAGGAAGTCGCGGCGCAACGGGCGCTCGACCGCGGGCAAGGCCGCCGCGACCCAGCCCGCGAAGTCTCCGGGCGCACAGCTCTGGCTCTTTCCCAGCGCCGCGGGCCTCCACCGCGCGCTGCTCCGGAGGGTGGAGGTGACGCGCCAACTCTGCTGCTCGCCGGGGCGCCTCGCGGTCTTGGAACGCGGCGGGGCGGGCGTCCAGGTTCACCAGCTGCTCGCCGGGAGCGGCGGCGCCCGGACGCCGAGTGAGTGGGGCTGGTGTGTGAGGGCTGTGAGGGCTGTGAGGGGTGAGGGCTGAGGGCTGTGAGGGGCGGGCAGCCGGGGGTCCGCGCCTGAGGGAGGAGAGCCCAGAAGGCCGCAGACGCGCGCCTGGCTCGGATAGTTTCGCCGACGGCGCACCTGAGCTGTCTTTTATCCCGGTCAGTGTCAGGCGCGGGGTGAGCGGGATACTGGCGACCAGCGGATCCTCCGCTCAGCAAAGTGGCCGGTGCGGGGCATGCGGGCACCGTCTTCATCCTTTTAGCCAGTCTGGCTTTCTCATAGGTTTCTGTTCAAGTTTGTACCCCCGTCCCCCGCCCGCCGCATCTCCCACTGTCTCGTTTTGAGAAAGTAGTCACTGCTCCAACTTTGGGAGTCGTTCTCAGTGATGGGATTTTACCTTGGCCTTCAGTTGCACTTCTCCCACATTCTCATCGAAGTGGGGGAAATAGTTGCCCGCGTTCTTTAAAATTTTGCCCATCTGTGGAGTGAAGAAATTGGTATCTTGCTGCGAGTTTATTTTGCGTTTAACTACTGGACGTTTGCGTTCCTTTTTCGGTAAATTGCCTGTTTATCTTTGCCTGGCTTTTAGAAATTTGAGTTGTTAAATCTTTTTCTTATTTGTATGGAAGAGGTATTTGAATATTGAATAAGAATAGCCTTTTGCACGTCGTACATGTAATATTTTTCTCACTTTGCCTTTTGTGCATGTTGTTTTTAGTGCATTTTTTGGGGGGTAGTCTGTCAATTTTTTTGTCTGTTAAGGCTTATGGGTTTTATGTTAGGCTGGAAAGCTATCCACACTCCCAGTGTTTTAAAAAATGTACTCATTTTTGTAGTAATTTTAAGGTTTTTTTTTTTAAGTTAAAATTTTTCGTACGCTTGGAATTTTCAGTACTGAGGTAGGAGGGGAGCTAGATTTATTTGCTTTTCCAAAGGCTTAGCCTATGTCCCAATACCATTTCTTAATACTTCCTTTTTTTCAACTGATTTGAAATGCTGAGACTCTTTAAAAGAAACCGTTAGTCTGCTGGACCATTTCTTATTACCAAACTGTTTTGGTTCCCCTAGCATTTGTAATATGGTTTGTGCTTTGAGATTTTTACACGAATAGATTCTATTTCATTAGCACTGAAGATGAAACAAGGTCCCAAAACTATCCTAGTTTAATTTTTGTGAACAAATTAAATAAGAGTACATTTTTACTAGTGGACAGTTTAATCTCTTAACTTCAGAAAGGGCCAAATGTGCACTAATGCCAATGAAAAATGTTTTCAACAGCATCCTCTTTAAAGATAGTCCCCCAAACATAATCCTTCCTTTTAAGAATATAGGCATTGGTTTCTATTGGTAACTGTCGGGAAGTGTTTATTACTGTTATTTGCTTTTTGGGAGAAAGGAATGTGTTTCAGAATACACTATTTGTTCTTGAAATGAGATTATGTTGTCTTAAAGTTATATTTTCTTATAGACCTTTTCATCTTTGTCATTTCAAATTTCGTTCGTCTTAATAAACAAGAACCTAAAAGCAGATATTTAATTGGATATTTTAAGGGTATGTTCCATTTACAACAAAGTATACATCAATATTTTTTCTAATTAAAAAAAATCTATGTCAAGACCGTTGTCTTTCCTGATTTGCTTTGCCTACCTGAATTTTCTTAAGAGAAGTTCATGGTAAGTCAAAGCTTGTCTAGTTGAAATTTTTCCCAGATGTTTTAAGTGTATTATAATGAAGTTAGTAATACAGTGGGTAATAATCAAAGTGACAATAGTTCCTGGTTGGATTTGCTCTGTAGAATGCATTAAATTAGGAAAAAACATGAAGATACATTCCGTGGACCAAGGAGCAGAGCACATGCTGATTCTCTCATCAGATGGAAAACCATTTGAGTATGACAACTATAGCATGAAACATCTAAGGTAGGGAACTTTTTTCTTTTATTAAAAATTAATTTTAATCAAAAGACAATAATAATTTCTGTAGGAAATATCTGATTCTTGTCCCCTGCTTTATATAGTAGCATCTTAAGTAAATAATAAATTCTGAACTGACCAGTAAAGTCCTTATGTCCCCCAGGGCAGGTATCATGTGTTGTTTTGGCATTTAAAGGAAATGATTAAATAGTCTGCCTAGCCCTAAATTGGACTTTCCTATTCATTAACTCATTTGATCCTCACAATAATCCTATAAGTTAAATTTCTGGAAATAAAAGTTTTTAACCTAGAAAAAATACACATTATCATGAAATAATTTGTGAGACTTTTCCCTAGTAGATTATATGAATTAGAACTCATTTTCATCTTGCATTTATTCCTGCATCCTAAAATTGTTTGCATAATATTTTATTATAATTATGTAATGCATATTTTTTCTTAATTAAAACATAGTATTTAAAAAATAATTTTAGATGTACTGAATGTGATGCAGTAAATTGAAAGTTTTTTCTTGAGCTTCATTTCTAATTAAATACTATTAATAGTTCTAAAATCCATGTTGTAACTTTCATTATGGTGATTAACACAAAGTGTATTTTCCTTCATCAGGTTTGAAAGCATTTTACAAGAAAAAAAAATAATTCAGATCACATGTGGAGATTACCATTCTCTTGCACTCTCAAAAGGTAATTTTTCTGTAATATTAATAGTTTTGTAGAAGTAATACCTGTGTGTATATGTGGAGCCAGTAGAATGTCTATATTTCACTTGTAACAGGACAGAAATACAGTTTTGAATTTGATATGGTTCCGAGTACGATTCTTAAAGTAAATACATAATGAGAGAATTCTTGGATCTGTAAAATGTTCAGGTTTCCAAAATTACTATTCCTAAATTTGGTTTCATGTTTTTATTTTTCAAGTACGAAACAGTGAAAATTTTCTGAATAATCAAAACTGTTTTCTCTACATCTGATCCAGGCCTGGGGCCACCCTTTTCCAGAAACTGCTTCCCTTTTCCTAACACCTTTCCAACTTCCACTCTTCCGGCTCAGAATCCCCTTTTGTGGCCAGGCTGCAGACCTCTGATACGTTTTAACATTGCTTTTGAATTCAAGGATCTCCCTAGCCCTGTAGTATTTCCCATTTTCTATCAGACACTGTCATGGTGGGAAATGGAAGCAGTGAATATGAATTATTTCCTAAAGAAACTTGACTATGAGGCCAGGCTTGGTGGCTAATGCCTATAATCCCAGCACTTTGGGAGGCTGAGGTGGGAGGATCACTTGTAGCCAGGAGTTTGAGACCAGCCTGGACAACATGGGGAGACTTCATCTTTACAAAAAAACTTAAAAATTAGCTGGGCATGGTGGCTTCCACCTGTAGTCCCAGCTACTTGGGAGGGTGAGGCAGGAGGATCCCTTGAGCCCAGGAGTTTGAGGCTGCAGTGAGCCATGATCGTGCCACTGCACTACAGCCTGGGTAACTGAGCGAGACCCTGTCTCAAAAAAAAAGAAACTTACTGTGAATGGAATAATTAAGATAGAAGTAGGGTAATAGAGGGGAATTCGAAGTCAAGGGAATTTTTGTTAATATATAGGACAGATGTAAACATGTTCATAAACTGAATAGAATCTGGGATTCAAGGGAAGTTAATAATTAGTGAGTATTTGACCTTCATTGCAAGGCCTGTTGAGATTTGATAGTATGAACTTGTATTGGAAGAAATTGATCATTTGACTTCATTCATTCATGAACAAATATTTCATATTATCTACTGTGTTCGGATTATGAAGATGAAACACACAAGCCCTGCCTTTAAGAAGCCCAGGGTCTAGAGGCGTGTATGTACAAGGGTAAAGGGATATTCAGAGTTTATTACTAGTAAATCACAGTACAGAAAGAATAAAAGTTGGGGAAGCAAGAAAAGAAACTGGTCATGCTCATCATTATATTCCTGGTGGTTGACAGGTGCATGAAAATTGTGTGTGAAGGAGAGGCTCTGCTTCCCACCACATCCTGCACAATATCTTGCAAAGAGATTCCAGTAAACCTTAATTCTCTGGTGTATTTTTTTAGACTCTATTAGATATTGTCAGCTCTATCAGATAACATCTAAGAACGCTCCCTAAAAAATGTGCTCCATATATTCAGTTAATGGAAGAAGAAACTGACTCGTTCAAGAAACTGTAATTTGAAATTAATTTTACAGTTGTTTATTTGGGATCTTGTAATTTCAAATGAATTTTACAGTTGTTTATTTGGGATCATTAGGCACATGAGAGAAAACAGTAGCGCTGGGGTTTTTCATAGAGGTAGATTGCTTCTGTTTTTCATGGGCCCGTCCTCTGAGTGTTTTAAAGTAAATATTTCTTGAATTTGATTTATAATCAAATTTATTATGTTGAAGATATTATTTAATATGTTCAAATAGCTTCACTTTTGAAGTGAGGGATAAGGAAGTGTAACTGTCACTGCTAAAGAGAAGATTCTGTGTTTTTCTGTGGCAGACATAGGGTAACTGAGAGTACCATCAGTGCAAAGGTACAATATTGTGATATTATACTAGGTAGAGCATGCATAATGCTTTAGGGTAATGTCTGCTGCATTTTAAATGGAATAAAACAGCATTTGCTTTGTTTATGTCAAGGTGGTGAGCTTTTTGCCTGGGGACAGAACCTGCATGGGCAGCTTGGAGTTGGAAGGAAATTTCCCTCAACCACCACACCACAGATTGTGGAGCACCTCGCAGGAGTACCCTTGGCTCAGATTTCTGCCGGAGAAGCCCACAGCATGGCCTTATCCATGTCTGGCAACATTTATTCATGGGGAAAAAATGAATGTGGACAACTAGGCCTGGGCCACACTGAGAGTATGGAACACATTCTCAGATTCCTATTACCAACAGATATACTTGTTAGATGAATTTAATGGACCTCCCTGTCAAAAATGGTTCAAATCTTCACTTTCATTTTCACTGCTCTTCCTGATTACCTCTCTGTCTTCAGGGCAGAATCAGTCCAAGAGGCATACATAGTGTGGAAGTTGTTACTGTAATTGAGACATGTTTCAGGGCTGTGTGTGAGACGGGAAAGGGCATTGAATTAGGGATGAGAACCTGGATTCTGATTCCCACTTTGCAGTTTACTAACTGCAAGCCTTGCCCAGTCACTAAACTTTTCTCTAGACCTCATTTTCTTTTTCTGTCAAGTGACAAGTTTGGATGAGATGACCTTTAAAGCCTTTGCACTTAAAGTCTGTTAGTGTATTATTACAAAAGAATACTAAAATTATATTTAAGAACTCACATATCCTGATCTTATTCTATAAGGTATCAATTATGTCTGTAAACACACATGAAGAAACATGTAATTTCCATTATTGAACAAAGCTGATGGTGAAATTTCTCATGATCCCAAACAACTCATTAAGAGTTTTCAGGTGTAAGAAATTCTGCTGCTTTACCCAGCTGTGGTACTGTATGCATTACCCTGGATCACTGGTTACTCATTTCTCCCTGACACAGTGCAATGGTCATTACACAGAATAGCCCATAAGTCAGTGTTAGAAAAATATTCAAAGGAGAGAAGAGAATAAAGCGGCCATTAAACTACTTTGGCTGAATCTCTGAGTGCTTTTGACATGAAAATAATCATGAAGAAAAGAAGAGGTAGTGTCAGGTGATGACACTAGTAGATAATTTGAAAGAAAGGAATTGCTATGTTCATTAAAAGTAATTCTAGATGGCTGTTGGAAATATCTAATGTGCTGCAATTAAAGTGAATCAAGTCATAACTGAGAACAGGCTTTGGGAAGTGGTTTGACCCTTTCACAGGTGGGTGCCCCTAAGTGTGATCCTTTTGGCCACTGGTCCCACCTTCACCCTGAGGCGTAGAACTTGATCCTAAACATGGCAACATAGAGCCTTTCTTGTCAGAATATCATGAGAACTGTTGTCGCTGGGTTGAGAAGCAGCAGTCCAGGTAACTCCACTGTGAAACTCAGCATTTCCTTTTGGTCACTTCAGCTATTTTTTTCCTTACATAGGTAAAGATGATCCATCCCTTATTGAAGGACTAGACAATCAGAAAGTTGAATTTGTCGCTTGTGGTGGCTCTCACAGTGCCCTACTCACACAGGTGGGTGTACCCTTGTCTCTTTTTGGCTGTATTTTTAGAAGAACAGTTTGTATGGGAAGTTAGTGTTTCCCAGAGAAGAAAGGTCATCACTTCCTGTATGTAGGACTGTCCTTCTGATATTTAGGAGCTTTACTTTGACAGTGCTATTTATTAGTGATTCACTTTGCATCAGTGAATACTACTTTTTTATTTTATTTTTCTAGCATCTGATATGACATTCCCTTTCCTTAGGATGGGCTGCTGTTTACTTTCGGTGCTGGAAAACATGGGCAACTTGGTCATAATTCAACACAGAATGAGCTAAGACCCTGTTTGGTGGCTGAGCTTGTTGGGTATAGAGTGACTCAGATAGCATGTGGAAGGTAAGTTGTAAAGTATCAATAAGAATTGATAAAATGAGTGCAGCAAACTAGATAGTAATTTAATAAAATTTCTTTCAGTTTCTTTGAGATGTATCAAACATTTTCAAATCAGTGAAAATGCTTAATTTATATTATTTAGATAAATGTAATACCCCTTTTACTATACATGGTTGTTTTCTTTGATTTTTTTTTTTTTTTTTTTTTTTAAATGAGCAGATACAATTCACTTTCTGCTGTCTCCTTAGTGAAATACCTTTGTAACTATTCAGGTGCACTTTTGTCTTAAAAAAACAAGTCATTAATTGTTTATTTGGGAAAAATAAAATGTAAATCACAAAGGATTATTCATTAAATGTAATCACCCTCTCTGACAATGCCTTGTGGCCAACATACTTTTTAATTACCAGAGTTCTTTCATTGTAGCCTGCCCTGATCACAGTAAAGTATAAGACATAGTCAGTGATGGTTTGAGTGAAATATTCCTAAGAAGTTTAATTTTCACAGCTCCTTTTTAGAAAAGAAAGGTAAAATGTCTTGCTCAGACTCCTTAGTTTATTTAAAGGTTTTTTGGTTTTCTTGTTTGTTTGTTTGTTTGTTTTTTGGTTTTTGGTTTTTTTTTTTGAGGCAGAGTATTGCTTTGTTGCCCAGGCTGGAGTGCAGTGACGCAATCTCAGCTCACTGCAACCTCCGCCTCCCAGGCTCAGGTTATTCTCCCACCTCAGCCTCTGGAATAGCTAGGATTACAGGCGTGCACTGCCACAACTGGCTAATTTTTAAATTTTATTTATTTATTATTTTTTTTTGAGACGGAGTCTCGCTCTGCTGCAAAGGCTGGAGTGCGGTGGCGCAATCTCGGCTCACTGCAAGCTCCGCCTCCTGGGTTCACACCATTCTTCTGCCTCAGCCTCCGGAGTAGCTGGGACTACAGGCGCCCGCCACCACGCCTGGCTAATTTTTTGTATTTTTAGTAAAGACGGGGTTTCACTGTGTTAGCCAGGATGGTCTCGATGTCCTGACCTTGTGATCCACCTGCCTCGGCCTCCCAAAGTGCTGGGATTACAGGCATGAGCCACTGCACCTGGCCACAACCGGCTAATTTTTGTATTTTTAGTAGAGTCGGGGTTTCACCGTGTTGGCCAGGCTGGTCTTGAACTCCTGACCTCAGGTGATCTGCTCGCCTTGACCCCTCAGAGTGTTGGGATTACAGGGGTGAGCCACCACGCCACTATTTAATTTTTTTGATTATCAGATATATCAGTCCACGTCTTGCCAGAGGGATGTTGGAAGTTGGTAGGATTAAAAAATATTTTCCCCCATATACACTTATTCTTTTGGGCAGTTTTTCCCTCACTAAACGTAGAGCAAAATTCAGACTGTATTTGAATGCTGGGTTCATTTGTTAGTTTACTGAAACCATTCTTATAAAAAACTAGCATGAATACTTTCAGTCTGTAGGCATATTTTCTTATGATCTTGGAGTAGAATTACATAAATGGGTAATATTATTAAGGTAGACCAAATTATCGGAATATGAGTCTCTTCACCAAAGAAGCGTTCTCTTCAATATTTATACCTCATTCGGTATCTCTTAACCAAAGCAGTCTTATCACCTCTTTGGATTCTTCATTACATACAGTCCTTTTGAGTAGCATGTATTACAAGAGAAGGAGGCAAGTTGGAGATCTGTCTTAATGCACATCAGGGCAATACCCCTACTAACAGGACAATTCACTGGAAAGACTCACGAACTTACTAAAAGCTATTATGCTCATAGTCACATTTATTACAAGAAAAGGATACAAACTAGTACCAGTCAAAGGAAGACACATAAGGGCAGGGTATAGGAGGGCTGCAAATGCTGAGCTTGTGGCTGTCACCTCCCCTTGGAGCAGGTGGATGGTGTTATCTCTTCTGGCCTGATAATGTGACAGGACATACAGAATTTGCCAGCCAATCAGAGAAATTCACCCAAGTTGAGAGTTGTTTTTGTTTTTTCTGGTTTTTTTATTTTGGAGACAGGGTACAGGATGTACATAATCTGCCATCTAGTCAGAGGAGTTCACCCAAGTCAAGACCAAGTCAAGAGTTGTTTTTGGTTTGGTGGTTTTTTTTTTTTTTTGAGACAAGGTCTCACTCTGTCACCCAGGCTGGACTGCAGTGGTGCTATCATGGCTTACTGCAGCCTTGACCTCCCAGGCTCAAGCAATCCTCCTGCCTCAGCCTCCTGAGTAGCTGGGACCACAGGTCCACCATGCCCAGCTAATTTTTAAATTTGTTGTAGAGATAGGGTCTCCTTATATTGGCCAGGCTGGTCTTAAACTTCTGGGTTCAAAGTATCCTACTGCCTTGGCCTCCCAAAGTGCTGGGATTACAGGCATGAGCCACCACACCCCACCTAAATTGAGGGGTTTTATTGCTGAGGCATGATTGGTTAAATCATTGCCCGGATAGTTAAACTTAATCTCCAGCACTGCCCTCCTGTAGGTCTGATTTACATCACAGGCCAGGAGAGCTCTCCCAGGATCCTGCCATGAATAATAAAGACTCTCCTCTATCACTTGGGGAATTCTGTGGGTTTAGAGGTTACCTCCTAGGAACAGGGCACCAGCCAGACCTCTCTGGGCAAGGCAGATTCCTTGCTACACAACAGTATAGTGGAATATACAAACCAGCAAATCAATAGGAAAATCAGTGTGGTAAAGGTCTTTGAGAAATTAAGTGGGAACTCAACTGAGTCTTCCAGGATGGAAAGTGAAGGGACTCAGAGATGGTTTCCAAGAGGTGGTGACTCAAACTGATGTTGAAAAATGAGCAGAGGGCAAGGGGAGGTGCTTGTTTCAACAAAGGGAA